>NC_000005.10:111321928-111624958 GCF_000001405.40 Homo sapiens | reverse complement strand
CAAGATCTGGAGATTCAATCAGGATGGTTTATTGTGTGAACAGAAGATGAAGACAAAGACATAGGATGAGAGAACCCTAGTGGGAAGATTGTTAACAGGCACAGTCTCATTCCTCTATTGTAGGTATTTGTAGAATTTGTTACTATTATTATCATTAAGTCCACCACAGCCAAATATTATCCCCTAGGGGCATGTGTTAGAATGTGAAGGTTATCCTGATTGATGAAACTAGGAGCACTGGGCTTTGGCTAGGCAGATAGGGGCATATAATATGAAACTATCTTTCCAGAATATCAGTTATCTTCCAGGAAAATGCAGAATGTCTATCCTAACTTTGAGAAATCCTCATGGAATATCTGTGATGACAACGTTTCATGCTCTAATTGAACTAGGTCTACCTTCAAGGTATCCTTCAACTTACTGAGGAATAATTGGTTATACTTCAGTACCTGTAGTGATAGCTTAGAAACCTGAAAGGAAAATACTCCTGGTGAAAAACAATTAGAGAGAAGGCCTCCACGGGAGCTTAGCCACAATGCTGATTATGAGAGGATCAAATAAAGCTACACAGTTATGGGCTTCCCTAGGGAATTTTCATTCTTTTGTTCAGATTTTCAGCTAGGTCATGTCTGAAAATGAAGAACAAATAGTTCATCCCAAAGGTTTACAATTTTACAATACCAACGTTTAGACCAAAAAAAAAAAAAAAAAAAGAAAGAAAGAAAAGAAAAGATGAAGCCATGACAATGGATTTTATTTTTTTTAAGAATTGCCAAACAAATCTTCCTAAAACATATTTTGAATCAAGTCACTACGAGTTCTCTGCGCTACGTCTGCTTACTTTTTTCTTTTCCCCAAGAGAAGGAACATAGCTGATTTTACTGCAAACTTATTATGTATAAAGCATTATTTGACATTTACATGGATATTTTTATGTGATTACCCTCATTTTAAGGACTGATAAATTCAGATGATGGTTCAGAGAGCTTGAGTGACTTACCTAAAGTCCTGCAGCCAGAAGGCAACAACCAGGCTTATAGAAGCCAAGTTTGCTTGATTCTAAAGTTCAGGCTCCTTCAATTATATCTCACAGCCTATGCACCATATTTTTTTCTTTTAACATATAAGTAATCCATGAATACAGCTCATTATAAAATATTGAAGAAATACATTAGTATGTAGGGAAACACAAAAGTTCCCACTCTCCCACATCCAACTCTCAGATGCCTCCCAGATGCAATAACTGCTAACAGTTCGTACATCTTTCTGGTCTTGCTTTAACATTGACAAATATGTGTGTGCAAATACACAAAGAAATTTTTTAATAGTTAAAAAAGTTCTCAAACTTACTTTTTTTACCTACTATCATGTCATACTGATATTTCCCTTAAGCACATATGAATCCATCTACATATTTTAAACTACTACACAGCATTTCACACTTTGGATATATTTCCCTTTATTTATCACTTGCTTACAGAATGGCATCAAAGATTTCCAAATAAGCATTGTGTAAACCTGTGTGAATGTTGTTTAGATAGATAATCAGAGGTAAAATGCTGGCTAAAGGTAAATACAAGTTTTGCTATTGCCAGCAGCATATACCAGTGCTAGTTTATCTACAGTCTGGTTTCAAATCACTAATTATTGGTGAAGTTGATGATTTTCCTAACTTTACTTGTCATTTGCATTTTTTGTTCTGTGAATTGCTTGCTGATAATTTTGGTTCATTTGGGAGGGGCCCCAGTTCCTTTTCATTTTCTTATTTATATATAAATCCCCCTTCATATTACGGATATTATTTTTGTTATGTGGACTCCAAATATATTCTCTCAAGCTGTCTTTTATCTCTTAACATTATTTAAGATGTCTTCAGTCAAGTAAATTTAAATTTGTAATTATAAATTTGTAATGAGTTTAATTTAAATTTAGACAAATTTAAATTTGTATGTGGTCCAGTTTACTCACCTTTTTTACCTTATAGCATTTGGGTTTTGTGTCTTAGAAAAAAAATCCTCCTCCTTTCATTTTAACCACCTCCTTTGGTAAGGATAACCATATTAAAAAGTCTTCATTTTTTCCTAATCCTGCATTTCATTTAGAATTTACGTTGATGTGAAATTGGGCACTGATTTATTTTTTCCCAAAATGAAAGTTCCAGAGCCTATGTTTCTAGTAATGGTGGACGACATAATTTGAACTACCCTTTCTGCTGAAAATAATTGAAAAGCTAGAGGAAAAGATAAAAATTCGTTATTAAAAACACCAAATGACTAACAAACTAAAGAATGTAAAAGAATGAAAAGAGGCTGTAACTTCCAAATTAATAAAGGGGAAGAAACGGAATGATAAAATGATATGAGTCATTATTCATTTTACACATTTTTGAGATTAATTTATTAACAATTATTTAAGAGTTTTGCAGCTTCATTCATAAGTTATATTTATCTACAGTTTCCCTTTTCCATGCCATTTTTTTTTTTTTTTGATTTGGGTAGGTGAAAAGGTTATGCTAACCTCACAATTCAAGTTACCAAAACTTTCTTTATTCTATCTTTTTAATAGTTTACAAAACAGAAATTATCTGTTCTTGAAAAGTTTGGTGATCAGGATAGGCTGCCTTTTATGGTGTAGATCTTTGGGTACCTTTTCTTTTTTTTTTCTTTTTTTTTTTCCACTTTTAGCAAGTTTAGGTGCTGCTTTCCTATAAAATATTCATTTCATATGGATTTTTTCATATGGTAGTTTCCTGTAATACTAAAATTTTACTCATAATTATATCTTTTTTCTCATATCTGCTTTATTATTTTGTAGGATGTACTGTGTCAGTGGAATATCTGATGCCAAATTGGTTCTCATTTTGTTGAGGTAACTCCAGCTGTGAAACCCAAAGAGAGCTTTACGGTTTTTCCTCTGAGTTTTAAGGTTTTCTATCGTTGGTGTCATACAAAATATGTAGAAAGGCAAGGGTTGGGCCGGGCACAGTGGCTTACGCCTGTAATCCCAGCACTTTGGGAGGCTGAGGCAGGCGGATCACAAGGTCAGGAGATTGAGACCATCCTGGCTAAGATGGTGAAACCCCATCTCTATTAAAAATACAAAAAATTAGCTGGGCGTGGTGGTGGGCGCCTGTAGACCCAGCTACTCTGGAGCCTGAAGCAGGAGAATGGCATGAACCTGGGAGGCGGAGCTTGCAGTGAGCCGAGATCGTGCGACTGTACTCCAGCCTGGGCGACAGAGCAAGACTTCGTCTCAAAAAAAAAAAAAAAAAAAAGAGGAAAGGTTGTTTTCCACTTTACACTCAGACTGCTCAGCATTCAGGGGCCATTTAATATAAAAATTCATTTTTTTTTTCTCCAGATTACCCCTGGCCCCTTACCCTCTCCTTGTCTTTTATATTTTCTCATTCAGGAGAGATGTGGGAACTTCTCATCTATCCTTCATACCACTCATATTTTTAAAATCTTCATTATTTTAACACGTTTTCTAGAAGAATTTTCACTCACTATTTTTTAAAACCTTTTAGCTAAATGCATGCATCTCTTGTTTTTATGATCACATTTTTAAAAATTTCCACACTTGCAAATTGCTTCTTTAGCATAATCAACTTGTCTTGTTTTCTGGATGTAATATCTTCTCTTAAACTTCTACAGAAGTCACTTATTTTAAGGTATTCTCTGTTCTGATAACTTTTTCTTTGTGGATTATTTCATCTTCTATGTATCTGTATATTTTGCTAAATAAGCAAACTAAGGTTAGTTTGTTTCAAATGTTTTGTGATTATTAGTAACATTCTTATCTTTCCATTGAAGACTTTGCTCACTTCTCTATGGAAGCTGCTTCTGTTTATTGTAGCCTGTATCTGAGGATAGAGAGAATGTGCTGATCGGTAGGGTATGCCATGGTTTCATTTTTGGTTCTAGAATGGGTCCCTTTTCCTCCTCAGGGGTAAAAAAGTATCTAGACCAGGCTTTGGCAAACTTTTTCTGGAAAAGGCCACATAATAAATATTTCAGCTTTATGGGCCACATGGACTCTATTGTAACTATTCAACTCTGCTGTTGTAGTATAAAAACCACCACAGCCACTTTGTGAACTAATGTATATGGCTGTGTTCCAATAAAACTTTATTTTCAAAAATAGGCAATTAGCCTATGAGTTTGCCATAGGCTGACTTAGACCATTAATCCAGAGATGGCACTAATGGGGCTTCTGTTATCCAGTCCTGAATGTGGTAGGTGCTGAACAGCGGTGGCAGGAAATTTTAGCTAGAGAGGCATGGTTAAGCATCGTTTTGGGCTGTATAGCTCTACAATTTGATTCTATTCTTCCTTCTCCATTCTGAGAGGTTGTTAATATCCCTTAATAAGTTCATTTTCTGCTTAAAACAGACAGAATGAATTCTGTTATTTTCAACTTAGTAGTCTGATTTATACAGCCTCCTAGTAACTCCTCTAAATTTCTACTCAATAATGGTGCTTGTTTTCTTGTACTAGTATAAATTAACTCTACTTCTAAAATTGTTTTCTGTCATCTTTTGCAATGTACTCATTCTATCACCTTCACTACCAATCAGTTGGTTTGGGAAGAATTTTGGACAGTGAGTGCTTATTCTTCGCAGCTGTTGCCTGAGGATCTCGCAGCTTTGGCTCTTGTGGAACATATTCCTCAGCCTCCTCCTTATGTGCAACGTTCACTTCATTTATATATGTATGACATTGCCAGAATTATTCCTTCACCTTGCAAGTTATACCTGTATACAAAACTGAGCTTCAGTATCACCCCCTCCATAAGGCCAGCTCTAACTTCTCCAGACTTTATTGACATATATATGTGTTCTGAACTCTGAATGTGGTTAATATTATTATCAGTTGGTCCCAAATTAGTCTAGTTTTTTAAGGCAGTTACTATATTAATATCTAACATTTACAGAGCCTTTATCATGGCTTAAACACTTCAAAAACATTTAAAAGTGCAACTGTTCCTTGGTATCCACGGAGGACTGGATCTAAGACCCTCACAGATACCAAAATCTGCAGATGCTCAAGTACCTGTAAAATGATGTAGTATTTGCATATAACTTATACATACCTTCCCATATAATTTAAATAATCTCTAGATTATTTATACCTATTACAATGTAAATGCTAATATAAATAGTTGTTATATTTATTGTTATTTGTATTATTTTTATTGTGATGCTGTTATTTTTATTAGTTTTTGGAACATTTTTCATCCACCGTTGGTTGAATGTGCAGATATGGAGAGCTGTTGTATTAATTCATTTGGCCATTATAACTTCATGGGGCAGACTCTATTATTATTATCCTAGTTTTACAGGTAGGGTAACCAAAGCATGACATAGATTAAGAAAAGTTTCCATGGTCTTACAGTTAGTGAGTAGCACAATCAGGATTCAAATCTATAGTCTGGCTCTAGAGCCTTATCCATTCTAATGCCTCCTGGGTGTTAGTTCTGTTTCTTCTATTAAATTGTAAATAGTTCTGCATTTCTTTTGGATCCTAGTAAGGGTGATGGATCAGAATGAATGTAATTTGGTTCCTGAAGATTAATTATATCACCACGTGATTGATGTGTAGTTACCATGATATAATATCAGTGAAAGTTATACTGATCCGCTCTTATAATTATAAGCACAAAAAATAGTTACCATCCTCCTGGGAACTTTCTACGACATGTGAAGTCTTATATTCTTACATGGCTATGACTGTTTGGAAAAATTTATTGGGATCTGCAGCCATCCAACAGTTCAGAGGAACCTAAGTCATAAGTGAAAGATACAGTTTACCACAACTTCATGTTCAAACCAGTTAGCAGTCTTTGACAGAGACCATGCACATAAGGTCACCATACTCACTGGGTTACACTGCCTCTGATCATCTTCAAAAAGACAAGACTATGATTGACTTGAAGCCAGAAAATGTAGTACTCATTTTTAACACTCCAGAGGAAAAAAAAAATACTGACGGAATTCAAAAGAATCTCACTTTACCTCAGTGACCACAGAAAGGTAGATATATCTTCAAGATCTAGCTAAAGGCAATATGTGGCAAGATGACAGCTGAGAACCAGAGTTTTGATTCCCAGGATTGATGGTTCTAACAAGCATCATCTCTAAGCAAACAAATGCAGACAGAGGGATTTCTGTCAGGCAACACGATTGCTTCCATTTGCAGTGTGTAGGGTTGTTTGACGTCTTGTGAATCATAAATTCTAGAGACAAAGGAACAGATCTTCCCTCGCTTCACTTGGGAAATGATTAAATCCCTTACTGCCACTTATTGCCAGACTGCATTTGTTGGCAACTTAGAGTGTGTGTGTGTGTGTGTGTGTGTGCGTGTGTGTGTGTGTTTTGGGGGGGTAGGTAGAGTGATGAGGAAGTGTGGAAGGATGGAGATTTCCTAAAGATTTTGTCGTGTTTCTTTGTAAACTTTTTTTAAAATCTCCGAATTTGCTGCTGATTTGTAAATATTTCACTTTTGAGTCACCATAATGCTTCCTTCTCTTTAATTTCTTTCTTAGAAGTACATTTTCTTGGTACAGATTTACTCCTGTTTCTAGTCTTTTCTGTCCCCACTAATTCCTCATTGCTTCCCCTGAGGTTGTAGAAGGGAAAGGATGTGCTAACAGAGGCAGGGGCCCAACAGCATGGAGTCAGCATTGACAGTTTCCGGCCTCAGGGATGGAGGAAGACTCATGATACTCAGCATTAGAGCAAGTGTAGACATCACAAAGGGTGATTTTCCCAGGCTGCACAACTAGAAGCCTTGGAAGGGTGACTCTGAGCATGGGCTTTTAATTTGAAAAAAAAAAAAAAAAAAAAAGGAATTTGGAATTATCTTCCTCTACTGTGAGGAAAAGCCACCCCCTTGCCCAGTCTACAGGGAAGCCTTTAAAAAAGCCCAAGCTACCTCCTACAGGCCCGGGTGTTCCCATGACATTCATGAACCCAGCCCCTCTGTAATCCATAAGGGTGGAACATTTGCATCGTTTTCGAGATGGAAAATTGCTGTTAATCTTAACTCTGAAGGAAAAGAGAAACAGGAAGCCATTGGGAATGTAAAATGACATGCTGAACTTTGAAATTAAAACAAGAAAATTCACTGCCTAACTTGCTCTCTGAAAGCAGCTTTTATGTTCCCTTGAAGAAAACAAAAGGGATCTGTTTTTGAAAGATTCACTAAGTCATATATATTTGCTCACACTATTTGCTGCAACTTGGAAGTCTGACTTTGTAGAAGCTTACTGAAGTAAAGGGGTCTGGTTCACCAAAGAAGTTTCAAACACTACTTTTTGGTTTTTCTTCTCTTCCATGTTCTTTGTGTTCTTTCATTTCAAGATCTACAGCAACATCAGCTAACATCTCATAAATGTTCCTATAACTAAGAAGCACTACATGAACTCATGTTGTGTCTGTCAGCTAGAGTGACTTCTCAAACCTTTTCCATTAGCCCAGTGTGGTGAAAAGAACACGGAGAGTCTAACATCTTAGATCCAGTTTAGCTCTACCAGGGACTGCTTATGAACAAGTCAAGTAATCTCTCTGTCTTATAGCTTTATTTTCTAAAAGTGGGGAGAAAGTAGACTTTGCCAGAAAATATAAAGTAACTTTCAAATGATTTTTATCTCACAGCTCAAGCTTGTTTATGCTTAAATTGCATAACATTCACTATACAAACCATAGGAGTAGGGTCTTGGTCTGTTTTGTTCACTATAGTGTTATCAGAACCTAGAACAGTACCTGGCTGGCACTCAATAACTATTTGTTGAGAAAAGAATGAATGAACAAAATAAATAGAAAGCATTGGTTCATAAAGAGATGTGATCCAAGCTGAGTGATCATGTTGAACATGAGAAGAATTCAGCTTCTTTCATTTTAAAGGGAAGAGCCTAAAGGGAGCTCAGAATGTAAAACAGGGCTCACTTCAGAGGAAGGTCCCTTTTCTGAGCCTCTGAAAAATGTGTGCTGCTGTTATGGAGCCAAAATAGAGAAATAAATAAGATTCTCATCTACAGGTGAAGGTGGGCAAGAAAGAAAGCCTCAATTTCAGGAGCCAAGTGAACACTAGATTCAAGCATTGGCATGTAGGGTGATACACAAAAGTATGGAAAACCTCACAGAGAGGAGAGAGAAGATTAACTCAACTCATGGAAGTATGGTGGGCAAAAGCCTGTGGGTCATCAAAGTGACTCTAAATATAATTAAGAAAGCAATATGTGCTGTTACTAGGAAAGCAATCTTTTGTAATGGATGGCACTGGTCAGATCCTTTTTAGGGTGCTGCATCTTGTTTGATTTCTTTAAGTGAAGGAGGCTATAAGTAGGTTTTTTTTCCCTAAGACGGTGGATTGGAGGCTTTTAGTGTAACTCAGCCACTTGAAAATAGCAAAGTAGCGCATTAAGATCAACTCTGTGAGCTTTAATTTAAGAAAGAAAATGGAAATCCACTGGAATAGAAAGGATAGCCCAGGGGAGGAGCAGGTGGGCCAACAGCCCCTGTGACAGTGTCTGGCTTATAAAAGTGGGCAAAGCCCTATTACTTGAGAGGGGCAAAGAGGCTCCCTATTTGACCTACCCTTCCACTGGGGATCCATGCAACCCAGACCAAGGAAGAGAACTTTGAGCTAACTGGTGGAGAGGCTTGGAGACGCTGAGAGGGAAAAACACTAGGAAAAGTTGCAGGCATTTTTCCAGACCCAGGACTAAGAGCAGGAAGCCATTTATAATCCAGGCTCAATGTCAGTCATTCTTTGGCAACTCAGCAGCATGGTCACACAGACATTTTATTCTAAGGCCAGAGATTGGAGCACTTGCAATGGATTGGGGTAGGGGCCGTCACAACCAGAATTGAGTGGTGAGTATGGAAAGCATCCCAGCAGTAGGCAGTGGAATTGTGCTTCCCCCTGTTGCAGGTCTGGGGTGGTAGGAGAGCTGCTGCAGCTGTAGTTTCTCATAGGCAATGAGACTTGCATCCAGAGCCAGCTTGGAGACCTGGAACTGGTCTGCATGTGTCATTGCTGGGTGCCCCAGCCTGCTCCCTTGAGATTGTGATGCATCGGGGCCCTCTCTGCTCCATGCCCAGGGAGATCACCAGGGAGTCATAACACCCACTTAAATGGATTAGCAGCCTGAGCCTGAGTTGCCCCACTCTTCTTGTGTATAGATTGTGGTGCAGCAGGGCCCTTTCTGCTTCACATCCAGGCAGATCTCCAGGCAGCTGGAGCTCCCACTCACCTGGATCAGCAGCCTGAGCGACCCCAGCCTTCCTGTGCATAAAACATGGGTCAACAGAGCCCTCTTTGCTCCATACCGAGGCAGATCTCCAGGCATCTGGAGCACCCACTTTCCTGGATTAGGAGTTTAGATTGACACCCACCTCCTCATTCACAGAATTTGGGGCCAAGGAGGTTTTCCAGCTCCATACTCAGGCACACATCTGGGCACTCAGTGGCCACCCACTAGACCTTTCTTTGGCATTGGTGCTTGTGCCTGCCATTTGGGGACCTGTAGGCAGGCCTGTCCAATCCAGGCCCACATTTCTTTGTCCCTCTTACTCCACAGGGCTAAGCAGGGAATTCAGACGACTGTGTACTCCACAGATCAGCCTATTGCCTGAGGTAACAGAGAGCTCTTCCCAGTAAGCAAAGATCAAGTATATACCCATCTGCATTGGCTGCAGGTGGTTCTTACCCATAAGTGTCATCTACTGGTTTGTAGGTTGAACTACACAGATCAATATAAAAGCTGCCCACAGAAATGCATAAGGCTATAGAAGCAAAGCCAAAAGAGTCTACCCAAAATTCTCAACAGTCACACCCCCTAGGGAGGAGGGGAAAGGGAAAGAAAAAATATTTAATTATAAGAAAAGAAAGAAAAAATCCTATCCACATGAAAAGAATTACAAAAATTGGAAGTGCCAACATCTCCAATGAGAAGGAAACAGCACAAGAATTCTGGTACCATAGAAAATTTGGATCACGCTAGCTCTCCAGCGATGGTCCCTAATCAAAATGGAAACTCAGAAATGACACATAAAGAATTCAAAGCATAGGTTCCAAGGAAGCTCAATGAGATCCAAGACAAAACAACACAAAGAGACTTCTAAAGCAATCCAGGAAAGGAAGGAAGAGATAGACATCTTAAAAAGAAATCAGTCAGAGTTTCTGGAATTGAAAAACTCACTTAAGGAATTTCAAAATGCAACAAAAATCTTTATTAATAGACTGGTCCAAGCAGAAGAAAGAATTCCAGAGCTTAAAGACCAGTCTTTTGAACTAACCCAGTCTGAAAAAAATAAAGAAAAAATAATTTTCAAAAATAAACAAAGTCTTTGAAAAGTATGGGATTATGTGAAGTGACCAAACATATGAATTATTGGCATTTCTGAGAGAAAAGGAGAAAAAGTAAACAACTGGAAAACTTATTTGAAGGAATAATCCAAGAAAATTCCCCTAATATTGCTGGAGAAGTAGACATGGAGATATGAAAATCCAGAGAACACCTGCAAGATACTATACAAAATGAACATCATCAGGGCATATAGTGACCAGACTGTCAAAGTCAACACTAGGGAAAAAAACATAAAGGTAGCTAGAGAAAAAGGTCAGGTCATGTACAAAGGGAACCCCATCAGGCTAACAGTGGATGTCTCAGCAAAAACCTAACAAGGCAGAAGAGATTGAGGGCCTATTTTCAGGATTCTTAAATAAAATAAATTCCAACCAAAAATTTATATCCTACCAAACTAAGCTTCATAAGTGAAGGAGAAATAAAATGTTTTCCAAACAAGCAATCTCTAAAGGAATTCATTACCACTAATCTTGCCTTACAAGAGACCCTTAAGGGAGTTCTAAACATGGAAACAGAAGAACAATACCTGCTACCACAAAAACACAAGTATATAGTCCACAGACCCTATAAATTTAGTAACTACACAATAGAAACTACAAAGCAACTACCTAGCAACTTTTTGACGGAATAAAAACCTAGCATTTCAATATTAATATTGAATGTAAACAGTCTAAGCCATCCACTTAAAAGGCATAGAGTGGCTAGTTAGATAAATAAATAACTGGGCAAAAGTTGTGAAGCAGCAATTCTGTCATACGGACAGGGTTCTGCTTTTTAATCCTATTTAGCTCATTTCGGAAATTCTCGCTTTTGTTGACTGCCAACATACAAAGTAAGGGAAACTCAATATTAAGCTGTTAAGATGGCTGTATCAATTCTTAAAATCTGCAGAGCCTCATTCATAATCAGTCAATTCCTTCAAAAGCAGACATGGCATCTGTTCCTTGCTTGCTTGTTGGTTGTGCCTACCTTTCACTAGACCTGAATTTTAGAATTGCCCAGTGAGTGCTGCCAGAGTGAGTGATTGTAATTCTGCTTTCAGGTAAAGATAGTCTACATTAACACTGCTGAGTGATTCAAAAACATATCAAAAAATAGCATTAACCCATTGTATTTCCTGGTCTTAGTGTCTGAAGACGCTCACCAGTTTTCTATGTACAGTAAGGCAGCATGCTAAAATGCTTTTGTTCAGTTCTGTATTTTCAAAAATAGCAGTGTGTTCTCTGATGGTTACCTGCAGTGGCACCCTGTACAAAAAATAAAGACTTATTGCCATAAAAAATAGAAAAATAAAATAAATAAAACCTATCTGTTTGCTCTCTTTAAGAGACCCATCTCACGTGTAACGACATGCAGACTCAAAGTAAAGGGTTGGAGAACGATATATCATGGAACTGGGAAACCAACAAAAAAAGCAAGGGTCACTATTCTTACATTAGATAAAACAGACTTTAAACCAACAACGGTAAAAAAGGACAAAAATGGGCATTACATAATGATGGAGGGTTCAATTTGATAGGAAAACTTAACTATTATAAATAAGTATGCACCCAACATTTGAGCACACAGATTCATAAAGCAAACACTTTTAGACCTATGAAAAGACTTAAACAGCCACACAATAATAGTTGGGGACTTCAACATGCCACTGACAGCATTAGACAAATTATAAAGGCAGAAAAATAGGGAAATTCTGGACTTAAATTCAACACTCGATCAATTGGACTTAATAGACATCTACAGAATACTCCACCCACCAACCACAGGATATACATCCTTCTCATCTGTGCACAGAACACAACCTAAGATTGAACACATGATTGGCCATAAAACAAGTCTCAATAAATTCAAAAACTTTGAAATTGAGAGGTGACAGCGTGCTGGCAGCCCTCGCAGCCCTCGCTCGCTCTTGGCGCCTCCTAGAGGGCCTCGGCACCCACTCTGGCTGCACTTGAGGAGCCCTTCAGCCACCACTGCACTGTGGGAGCCCCTTCCTGGGATGGCCAGGGCCAGAGCCGGCTCCCTCAGCTCGCGAGGAGGTGTGGAGGGAGAGGCACGGGCGAGAACCGGGGCTGCGCGTGGCGCTTGCAGGCCAGCTAGAATTCCGGATGGGCATGGGCTTGGCACCCCACACTTGGAGTGGCGGGCCGGCCAGCCCCGGGCAGTGAGGGGCTTAGCACTGGGGCCAGCAGCTGCGGAGGGTGTGCTGGGTCCCCCAGCAGTGCCGGCCCACCGGCGCTGTGCTCAATTTCTCGCAGGGCCTTAGCTGCCTTCCCGCGGGGCAGGGCTGTGGACCTGTAGCCCGCCATGCCCGCGCCCACCCCGCCCCCGCCCCTCCTCCACCCCGTGGGATCCTGCGGGGCCTGAGCTCCCTGAGTAGCGCCACCCCCTGCTCCATGGCACCTGGTCCCATTGACCACCCAAGGGCTGAGGAGTGCGGGCACACCGCACGGAACTGGCAGGCAGCTCCACCTGCAGCCCTGGTGCGGGATCCAGTGGGTGAAGCCAGCTGGGCTCCTGAGTCTGGTGGGGACTTGGAGAACCTTTATGTCTAGCTAAGGGATTGTAAATACACCAATCAGCACTCTGTATCTAGCTTAAGGTTTGTAAATGCACCAATCAGCTCTCTGTGTCTAGCTGACCTGGTGGGGACTTGGAGAACCTTTATGTACAGCTAAGGGATTGTAAATACACCAATCAGCACTCTGTATCTAGCTCAAGGTTTGTAAATACACCAATCAGCACCCTGTGTCTAGCTCAAGGTTTGTAAATGCACCAATCAGTGCTCTGTTTCTAGCTAATCCAGTGGGGACTTGGAGAACTTCTGTGTCTAGCTCAGGGATTGTAAACGCACCAATCAGCACCCTGTCAAAACAGACCAATCAGCTCTCTGTAAAACAGACCAAGCAGCTCTCTGTAAAATGGACCAATCGGCAGGGTGTGGGTGGGGCCAGATAAGGGAACAAAAGCAGGCTGCCCAGCCAGCAGTGGCAACCTGCTCAGGTCCCCTTCCACACCGTGGAAGCTTTAGTTCTTTTGCTCTTTGCAGTAAACCTTGCTGCTGCTCATTCTTTGGGTCCGCAGTGCCTTTATGAGCTGTAACACTCACTGCAAAGGTGTGCAGGTTCACTCCTGAGCCAGCGAGACCACGAACCCACCAGAAGGAAGAAACGCAGAACACATCCGAACATCAGAAGGAACAAACTCCGGACACGCCACCTTTAAGAACTGTAACACTCACCACGAGGGTCCACCTCTTCATTCTTGAGGTCAGTGAGACCAAGACCCCACCAATTCCAGACAAAAAATGATACTAACCGTACTCTTGGACCACAGTGGAATAAAATGAAAATCAACATAAATATCTCCCAAAACCATACAATTACATGGAAATTAAACAACTTGTTCCTCAATGACTTTTGGAAAATGAAATTAAGGAAGAAATCAAAAAACTACCTGAAATTGATGAAAACAGAGACACAACATAACAAAGTCTCTGAGATGCAGCAAGAACAGTGTTAAGAGGAAACCCTACCTCAAGAAGTCAGGAAGAGCTCAAATTGATGACCTAACATCACACACACAGAGGAATTAGAAAAACAAGAATAAACTAAGCCCAAAGCTAGCAGAAGAGAAGTAACTAAAATCAGAGCAGAAGTGAGTGAAATTGAGACCCAAAAATCCATACAAAGGATTAATGAAACCAAAAGTTTGTTATCCAAAAGGATAAACAGATCATTAGACAACTGGCTAGAGTAACAAAGAAAAAGAGAGAGAAGATTCAGATAAGCACAATTAGAAATAACAATGGTAACATTACATCTGATCCCAAAGAAACAAAAAAGATCCTCAGAAACTATTATAAACACCTCTATGCATGCAAAAATCTAGAAGAAATGAATAAATTCCTGGAAACACAACCTCCTAAGATTGAATCAGGAAGAAGTTGAAACCCAGAATAGACCAATATCAAGTTCCAAGTTTCTTATTGAATCTGAAATAAGAAACCTACCAACCAAAATAAGCTTTGGACCAGATGGATTCACAACCGAATTCTACCATGCATTCAAAGAGGAACTGGTACCAATTCTACTGCAACTATTCCAAAAAATCAAGGAGGAGGGACCCTACCCTAACTCGTTCTATGAAATTCGCATCATCCTGATACCAAAATCAGGCAAAAGCACAAAGAAAAAAGAAAACTACGGGCTAAAGTCTCTGATGAACATGGACACAGTAATTCTCAACAAAACACTAGCAAACCAAATCCAGCATCTCATCAAGAGGTTAATTCACCACAGTCACATAGGTTTTACTCCTGGGATGCAAGTTTGGTTCAACATATGCAAATCAATAAATGTGATTTATTACATAAACAGAATTATGAAAGCCATATGATCATCTCAATAAATGCAGAAAAAGCTCTCAATCAAATCCAACATCGCTTCATGATAAAAACTTTCAAGAAACTAGGCATTAAATAAGCATGCCTAAAAATAATAAGAGGTATCTATGACAAACCTACAGCCAATATCAGACTGAACAGCCAAAAGCTGGAAGCATTCCCCTGAAGAACTGGAACAAGACAAGGATGCCCACTCTCACCACTCCCATTCAACATAATACTGGAAGTGCTAGCCAGAGTAATGAGGCAAGAGAAAGAAATAAAAGGAATCCAAACAGGAAAAGAAGATAAATTATTCCTCTTCACTGATAAAATGATTCTATACCTAGAAAATGCTAAAGACTTCACCTAAAGGCTCTTAGAACTGATAAATGACTTCAGTAAAGTTTGAGGATATAAAATCAATACACAAAAATAAGTAGGCCAGGCACGGTGGCTCACACCTGTAATCCCAGCACTTTGGGAGGCCCAGGCGGGCAGATCACCTGAGATCAGGAATTCGAGACCAGCCTGGCCAATATGGTGGAACCCTGCCTCTACTAAAAATACAAAAAATTAGCCAGGCATGGTGGAGTGCACCTGTAATCCCAGCTACTTGGGAGGCTGGGGCAGGAGAATCACTTGAACCCGGGAGGCCAAGGTTGCAGTGAGCTGAGATTCTGCCATTGCACTCCAGTCTGGGTGGCAGAATGAGCCTATCTCAAAAAAACAAAAACAAAAACAAAAACAAAAACAAAAACAAAATCAGTGGCATTTCTTTTTTTTTTTTTAAGACGGAATCTTGCTCTGTCACCCAGGCTGGACTGTAGTGGCACGATCTCTGCTGACAGCAAGCTCCGCCTTCCGGGTTCACGCCATTCTCCTGCCTCAGCCTCCCAAGCAGCTGGGACTACAGTTGCCCGCCACTATGCCCGGCTAATGTTTTGTATTTTTTTAATAGAAACGGGGTTTCACTGTGTTAGCCAGGATGGCCTTGATCTCCTGACCTCGTGATACACCCACCTTGGCCTCCCAGAGTGCTGGGATTACAGGCGTAAGCCACCGTGCCTGGCCAAATCAGTGGCATTTATATACAGAAATAATGTTCAAACTGAGGGCCAAATCAAAAGTGCAATCCCATTTACAATAGCCACAACAGAAATAAAATACCCAGGAAGACACCTTGCAAAGGTGGTGATAGGTATCTATAAAAAGAACTACAAAATATGGCAGAAAAAAAATCATAAATGACACAAACAAATGGGAAAACATTCCATGCTCATGGATTAGAAGAATCAATGTCATTAAAATGGCCATACTGCCCAACACAATCTACGGATTCAACACTATTCCTGAAAAACTACTAACGTTATTTTTCACATAATTAGAAAAAAATTGTTCTAAAATTCATATGGAACCAATAAAGAGCCCGAAAAGCCAAAGCAATCTCTAAGCAAAAAGAACAAAGCTGGGAGCATAACATTACCTGACTTCCAACTAAAAGGCTACAACAACCAAAACAGCTTGGTACTGGTACAAAAGCAGACACGTAGACCAATGGAACAGAAGAAAGAACCCAGAAATAAAGACACATATCTACAACAATTAGATCTTTGACAAAGTTGACAAAAATAAGGAATGGGAAAGGACTCCAAATTTATTAAATAGTGTGGTATAACTGGCTAGCTATATGCAAAATGAAACTGGACCCCTACCTTTCACCATATACAAAAATGAACTCAAGATGGATTAAAGACTTAAATGCAACACCTCAAACAATAAATCCTGGAAGAAAACTCTGGAAATAAAAACCATTCTGGACATCAGCCTTGGCAAAGAATTTATGGCTAATTCCTCAAAAGCAATTGCATCAAAACCAACAATTGACAAGTGGGATCTAATTAAATTAAAGAGCTTCTGCACAGCAAACCAAAGTGACAACAAACAGACAACCTGTAGAATGAGAGATAATATTCACAAACTCTGCATCCAACAATGGTCTAATATCCACAATCTATAAGGAACTTGAACAATTCAGCAAGTAAAAATACAAAGGGCATGAACAGACACTTCTCAAAGGAAGACATACAAGCAGCCAACAAATGTGTAAAAATGCCCAACACACTAATCATCATAGAAAGGCAAATCAAAACTACAATTAGACACCATTTCACACCAGTCAGAACGGCTATTATTAAAAAGTCAAAAAATAACAGATGCTGGCAAGGCTGCAGAGAAAGGGAGTACTTTATACGCTTTTGGTAAGAATGTAAATTAGTTCAGCCTCTGTGGAAAGCAGTTTGAAGATTTCTCAAAGAACTAAAAACATAACTAGCATTTGATCCAGCAATCTCATTAATGAATATATACCCAAAGGAAAAGAAATTGTTCTACCAAAAAGACACATACACACATATGTTTATTGCAGCACTATTCACAATGGCAATGACATGGAATCAACATAGGTGCCTGTCAATGGGAGATTGGATAAAGAATATGTGGTACATATACACCATGGAATACTATGAAGCCACAAAAAAGAATGAAAGCATATCCTTTGCAGCAACATGAATGCAGCTGGAGGCTATTATCCTGAGTAAATTAACACAGGAACAGAAAACCAAATACCACATGTTCTCATTTATAACTTTTTTTAAATTTTATTTTTATTTTTTATTGAGATGGAGTCTCACTCTGTCACCCAGGCTGGAGTGCAGTGGTGCGATCTCAGCTCACTGCAACCTCTGCCTCCCAGGTTCAAGCAATTCTCTTGCCTCAGCCACCCGAGTAGCTCTGATTACAGGCACATGCCACCATGCCTGGCTAGTTTTTGCATTTTTAGTAGAGATGGGGTTTCACCATGTTGGCCAGGCTGGTCTCAAACTCCTGACCTCAAGTGATCCACCCACCTTGGCCTCCCAAAGTGTTGGGATTACAGGCATGAGCCACTGCACCCGGCCCTCATTTATAATTGGGAACTAAACATTGAGTACATATGGACATAATGATGAGAACAATAGACACTGGGGACTACTGGGCTGGGGAAGAGAAGGAGGAGGGTAAGAGCTGAAAAACTACCTATTGGAGGCCGGGCACAATGGATCAAGCCTGAAATCCCAGCACTTTGGGAGGCCAAGGCAGGCAGATCACCAGAGCTCAGGAGTTCGAGACCAGCCTGGACAACATGATGAAACCCTGTCTCTACTGAAAATACAAAAATTAGCCGGGTGTGGTGGTGGGTGCCTGTAATCTCAGCTACTTGGCAGGCTGAGGCAGGAGAATCACTTGAACCGGGGAGATGGAGGTTGCAGTGAGCCAAGATCATGCCACTGCGCTCCAGCCTGAGTAACAGAGTGAGATTCTGTCTAAAAAAAAAAAAAAAAGAAAAAGAAAAAAAAGCGAAAAAAACTACCTATTGGGTACTGTGCTCTCTACCTGGGTGACAGGATCATTTGTATCCCAAACCTCAGCATTGCATAATATACCCATATAACAAACCTGTACATATACTCCTTAATCTAAAATAAAAGCAGAAATTATTTTTTATAAATAAGTAGGAAAAATAAGAAATTATTTAAAGGGAAGAAAAGTAAGCTAATGCATTCATTTTTGCTTTTTCTTTGGAGGAAACTAAGGGATTATGCTTTTAACATTACTTTTATATAAGGAAAAATAAGGTTTTGATTCATTGTGAATAAAAACTTCCTGACCAGGAAGTTAAGAAATTTGCAGCCAGTGTACAGGTTGCAGTCTCTTAGACTGGGTAGAAAGTACTTTCAAAACGTATCAGGAAAGTAGTCTGGCAGTTTATTAAACACAGAATTATTACGCAACCTAGCCATTTCATTCCTAGGTACATACCTAAGAGAAACAAGAACATATATCCACAAAAATTTGTACATGCATATTCATATTAGCATTATTCATAATAGTCAAAAAGTAGAAATACCCAAATGTCCATCAACTGATGAATGGATAAAGAAAATATGCTGTATCTTTATAACAGAATATTACTCATCAATAAGAATTAATAGAAAACTGATACATGCAATAACATGGATCAACCTGGAAAACATTATGCAAAATGAAAGAATCCAGTCACACAAAGCCACATATTTTATTATTATATTTATATAAAATTTATAGAATAAAAAAATTCAGAAAAAGAGGAAGTAGGTGAATATTTACCTATATCTGGGGATATGAAAAATGGGGAGTAAACTGCTAATGGATATACAATTTCTTTGGGGTTGATAAAAATAATCTAGCTTGAGGTGACAGTTGCACCCATCTGTGAATACACTAAAAACCATTGAATTCAACACTTCAAATAGGTGAATTTTGTGTCATATAAACCATATCTAAATAAAGTTATTAGAAAAATTTTTTAAGTAGACACATATGGACTGAAAGGTTCTGAGTATAGCCAGGCTGAGGCAAAGAATATACCATATGGTCTCTCACCAGCTCTAGAATCCTGTTCTGTGACTTTGACCCATAAACATACCAGATTTACATGTGACACAGAGATTAAATAGATTGGATGTTTAAAAAGGGTCACAAAGACCTTTTCATATAGATCATAAGGGAAGTTGCTTTACTCAAAATGCTTGTATACAGATGCTGTGGAAAAACAGTTAAGACTCAACTTTTACTGTCCGAAAGTAGAACGTTCTATTTGTAGAATCTAAGCCACATAGTCTCTTTCCTGAATGACTGTCTTTGACAACCCAATCTTCCTACTTCCACTCTTGCAATCCTGTACATAGAGAAGACAACATGATCTTTCAAAATGTAAATCAGAACATGCTACTTTTCCTATTGTACTTAATGTGAAATCCAAACTACTTATCCTCATCTACAAATCTCACATGAGCTGACCCCTACTTCCCTCTCTATTCTTACCTTTACCCATCAGGCTCCAGCCATATTGGTCTTTTTCTGGTTTTCTGAGGTGCAGAGCTTATTTCCACCTTATAGCCTTTGTGTTAGTTGTTCCCCCTACCAGGAATGCTCTTCCTCTTGACTCTATGTGGCTGACTGCTTCCTTCTTTTTATTCAAGCTTCTTATTAGAATGTCAAACTCATAGAAGCACACTGCCTCTTCCTTGGTGTCTATCATATAATGGAAACTCACTAATATTTGTGGAAAGAATAAATAACTGAATTAACAATTTCTTACTCTTTTTGAGAAACTATGGTGTTTATTTCCTATAACAACCCTACAAGATACCCATTTTATAAACAGAGGATTAGAAACCTGGCCTGTATAAGTTTGCATAACATCTACAGTTGTATCGTTGTTCTGTGCAGGGTAATTTATCAGGAAAGTAATTTAGTGACTCCTGGTATTTTTTCTCTCACTCTGCCAATCAGGTTGTCAGGCTTTGCATTTTGTTGTCTCGGGAATTGCTCCTGGCTTGTTCGAGAGCAGTGGTCCTTCCTGTATTTGTATATCTGTCCTGTATTTATTCTAGTTGAAGAGTTGATGCTAGTGTACTGGAGAGGTAGGAGAGGAAAGAAATGCCTTTGAAAAAAAGCAGTCTGAAAAGGAAAATTCCAGTAGACTGAGGATGAGATCTGAAGTCCTGAGGAAGAATGCCTAGTTCATTGCAATGTCCCAGTACAAAGTAATGAAGAAGAAGCATGATCCCAAATATGACGTAGAAGGCCACAGCTTTTCTGCTTCAGTATAGCTTCACCTCCCCAGGAGGGTCACAGGCATAGAAACAGGATTTCTTGGGCTTAGACCATAATGATGCTAGAGTGACCATGATGTACGGAGACAAGAAATCCATATCATATATCACTATACTGTGTTATCTTCCATTTGAGGTTGCAAAAATCTAGCAAAAGTGAAAGTCGTCCATTTCTTTGACAGAGGAGTATGAAAATTGGGTAAATATTTGACCAAAGTAACATGTCCACTAAGAATCTATTCACACCACACAAGGTAAATCAACCACTTGCTCCACAGAGACAAGTGGAGGAGTGAGGCACCCTGAGAGAAAAATCAGAGCCAGTGTCGATTGCATGGTACATTGAGGGAGGACAGACAGGTGTGTATTTTTAAATAAGAGAGAAATTTGTTATTCATAGCTGTTGCTTCAGAGGTTACAAGCTAGAGATAAACCATTACCAATTTCAAAAGTATATCTGAAGGGAATTGGCAAGAATCAGTCAATGACTTGCTGAGGGTTCAGTCATCCTGGGAATAGCATCTTTTTATCAAGGTCCACTGGGTAATTGATGGGGTTCTGCCTAAACGACTTGTCCCCCATTGGCATCTGAGGATCTGCTCCGATCTAGAGTCAGCTCCATCCTCTCAGTGACTACAGCCTCCATAGCAAGGGCCATGTTGTCCTCACTCATGAATGTATGAAAGGTTTTCTACTCACATCATCATCCCTCTGGAAAAGGCAACTCATGTTTTTTGCTGAGTGGTAGGAACACAGGACTCTGCCAATATTTAACTGATAAAACCACTTAAGTGAAATCTCAGCTGGGTTAACAAGAGAGCAATGGGTGGTCAAGCAAGATTTATGAGCTAGCACATTCCTGAGCAGTCAGGGTTACCAACATAGTACAGTTATCAGTGAACTTAAAGTTACAGATCGCCTCACTCAACTCATGAAACAAGAATTTCCATAACACTTCCTATAAAATGGTGTTTTTCTTTCTTCAGAAATCCTAATTCCATACTTTCGCAACAACATAAAAAAATAGAGGTAAACATATGCTCTTGCTGTTATTTTGCTGGGTTAATTGTCTCTATCCTCCTTCTCAGCACTTTCCTGGAACTTCCCATGGCTGATCTTCTCTCCCACCACGCCATGCTCTAAACACACTGCTTCTCAAGCAGGACGCACCATCTGATTATTTCCTAAACTGAGTTGGATACCAGCCCTGGCCCAGGACGAGACAATGGTACAAGTGAGCACAAAGACTCCTGCTCATGCAATAAGCCTGACTCTTCAGGCTTCTGCAAGTAGCCCTGCAAAAAAGTAGACACATTCCTAGTCTTTGTCCTTTCTCCTGAGAGAAGCCATCCAACTGGACATTTTGTAGACATGCCAAATGAAATCTAGCCAAAACACTTAGCACCTGTTCATTACAGGGGTTCACAGTACTAACACCATCTTTCTCTTAGTGGCACTCACATTTCTGTTTCCCTATCTAAAAACTGTCAAGTCATCTGACTCTTCTTTCACCTTCATTTCCGGTGTTTGAGATGGTCTGTATGTGTGGACTTTTTTCACGCTGTCTCTGCTTTCCCATACTCCTCCATCCAAGCACCTGGACTTTTGTCTTCATCTCCTAGGAGGTTCCATAGCCTGAAGTCTGTATCCACCTCATTCTTCCCTGCTCCACTATCAGATAACTCTTTCTAATCTATTTTTCATTATTCTTTCATTCATGCAACAGATACTTTTTGAGCTCCTACGATGTGCTGGGTACTGTTCTAGACATTGAGAATACTTTACCAAAAAATAGGCCTAGTCAGCCGGGTGCGGTGGCTCACGCCTATAATCCCAGCACTATGGAAGTCCAAGGCAGGCGGATCACGAGGTCAGGAGATCAAGACCATCCTCGCTAACATGGTGAAACCCCGTCTCTACTAAAAACACACACACACAAAATTAGCAGGGCGTGGTGGTGGGCGCCTGTAGTCCCAGCTACTCAGGAGGCTGAGGCAGGAGAATGGCATGAACCCAGGAGGTGGAGCTTGCAGTCAGCCTAGATAGCACCATTGCACTCCAGCCTGGGTGACAGAGCGAGACTTTGCCTCAAAAAAAAAAAAAAAAAAAAAAAAAAAATAGGCCTAGTCACTGCTATTTTGGAGCTTACATTTCTAGTGGAGAGGGCACAAAATAAACAAGTATGAAGTAAATCAGATGCACTTGAATTGGTGAATGCTATGGAGAGGAAGAATGCCTAGGAAGCAGAATAGAGAATGTTGGGGAGGGGATAATATTTTATATTGGGTGGTGAAGGAAGGCCCTTCTGGTAAGGTGATATTTCAGCAGAGACTTTAAGGAAACGGATGAGTGAGCATGTGAGAGAGAGTCATGGAAAGATCTACAAAAAGAGCAGCCTATATAGAGAGAACTGTGCAGAACTGTGCCAAAGTCCTGAGGCAGATGCAGACATGGTGTGTTCAAGGAGCAGCAAGGAGGCCAGTGTGCCTGCAGCAGAGTGCATGTGAGAGAGGAGAGCATGGTAGGCAATGAGGATGAGTGGGAGGGAAGAAGACAGGGGCCACATGGTGTGGGGACTGTAGGCCATTGTAAGGACTTTAGCTTTTGTACTATATGGGATTCAGAGCCACTGCAGGTTTTGAATACAAGTATAATTAGAATTTTAAAAGGATTCCTCTGACTACTTTATTGAGACTGAAGGCACAATGGTGAAATGAAGGAGACCAGTTAGGAATCCATTATAATAACCCTGGAGGAGTGATGATGGTGACTTGACTAGGACTTAGTACCAAAGGTACTGAGAAGTAGTTGTTGAATTCTGGAATTATTTTAAAGGTAGAGCAGATAGGATTTTCTGATAAGTTCAATGTGGGGTGTGAAAGAAGGCAGACACCATAGTTTTTCTCCCATGCAGTTGGAAGACATGAGTATTTATTCATTGAGATGCAGAACACCAGGAAAAGAGAAAGTTGGGGAAAGGTGTGAGAGTCAGAAGTTTTGTTTCGAACATGTGAAGTTCATTTTGAAGCATTGGAAATTCTTTTTTTAGATATTTGCATGGAAATGTCAAGCAGGCACTTGAGTATGTGAGCACGGTGTCCTGAGGAAAAACTGGGTCTGGATATAGCACACATTTGAGAGTTATCAATGTACGGATGGTATTGATGGGACTGGATGAGATCTCCAAAGGAGTAAGCTTGATGTAGGGTATGTAATAGCACTGGGGATTTTCTACTGTCTACAGAGAACAATAAGCCTTTACTCCCCAGGCTGCTTCCCGAGGCTGTCTGTAACCCAGCCTGACCCTGCCTGTTCAAAAACCTATCCTCTCCTCTGTGAGCCCTAGACACCAGCTATTACTTTCATCAACTCTTCTTTGAGCCCTAGGCATAACTTGTTCATTTTTTTATTCAAATGCTACCCATCTTTCAAGGTCCAGCTCAAATTCCACCTTTATTTATCCATTCACTTCCCAAACATTTTTTTTTTGCAAATCTATGATGTAAGTGCCAAAGAGACAGCAATAACAAAGTCAATCACTTTCCAGAAAGCCTAATCTCCTGCCTAGTTGTCTTTTCCCCGATCTTCTGTAGCTAACAAACCCAGAAATTATAATTTTCACTGACTATGGAACAAGCTTCATGGTAGACACTGGAACAAGATTGGGAAAAGGAGATAGTCACAGTCTGTTAGAGAAGCAGGCAAGTAAGCAGGCAACTGAAAAAAAAAATATTTCTTGCTATGAAAGGAGAATGCACTTGCAGTATGCAAAATAATGTCATGTTGCCCAAAGATGTCCACGTGTTAATGCCCAGAACCTGTGACTAGGTTAGTTTACATGACAAAAAGGACATTCAGGCTGCAGGTGACATTAAGGTTGCTATTCAGCTGCCTTAAAATAGGGAGAGTATCCTAGGTTTTTCAGGTGGGTTCAATGTAATCACAAAGGTACTTAAGAGTGGAAAAGGGAGGCAAAAGAGAAGAGTCAAAGAAAGATACGTGATTATGGAAGGTATGTGGTTGGCTTCGAAGATGGAAGAAAGGATCCATAAAGCAAAAACTGTAGATGACCTGTAGAATCTGGAAAAGGTAAGGAATTGGACTCTTCCCTAAGGCCTCCAGAAAAGAATGCAGCCCTGTTGGCATCTTGATATAGCATCATTAGACCCATCAAACTTCTGAACTATTGAACTGTACATAATAAGTTTTATTGTGATCTCCCTTGTAGCAACATGGATGGAGCTAGAGGCCATTAAACTAAGCAAACTAATCCATGAACAGAAAAACAAATACCACATGTTCTCACTTTTAAGTGGGAGCTAAACGAGAACACATGGACACAAAGCGGAGGAAAATAGACACTGGTGAATGCTTGAGGGTGGAGGGTGGGAGTAGGGAGACAATAAAAAACAAACTACCCGTTGGGTACTATGCTTATTACCTGGGTGATAAAATGATCTGTACCCAAACCCCCAAAGACATGCAGTTTACCTATATAACAAACCTGCACATGTATCCCTGAACCTAAAATAAAACTTAAAAAAAAGAAAAAAATTGTATTGTGTTAAACCACTAAGATTTACAGCAGCAATAAAAACTAATACTATTGCCAATACTAAAAACTAATACTAATGTTATATAATACATATAGCACTCTATGGTTATTTAACTTTTTCAGAGGTGTGTGTTACATCCCCAGTATTGGCCAATTTTCAAAGATTCAGGACAATGAAAACACCTTTAAAAATTCCCTCTGTCAATAATCATATTAGGGTTCTTTGGGTTGCAAGTAACATAAAAGTTATCAAAAATTTTCTTAAGCTGAAAAGCTGGTTCAATAATTGAAAAGTTCTGGGGTAGGTCTAGCTTCAGGCACAGCAGAAAAGAGATGCTCGAGTGGTTTTGATGTTGTCAGAAATCCATCTCTCCTCTGCGTTTCCCTCTCTGCTCACTCCATTCTCCAGCTGCACTTACTTGGTGGCAAAGATGTCCAATGGCAGATCCAGGCTTACATTCCTCTGGCTTGGCAACCCCAAAAGAAAGAAGGTGGCGGATGCTACTTGCACTTGACACACACTCAACTAGTTTCCTCTGGCTGACACTGACCCAGTCATGGTGGCCAAGGGAGTACTATAATCTCATTGCCAGATCCAGGTCATGTGCCCATCCCTGAAGTCCAGGAGATGCATCACCACCTTCTACCCACAACGTGGGGAGTGAGGGAGAATCCTTCTCCCAATAATGCTGGAGCAGAGAGTAGTTGCCAGCAACTACTATCAGGGAAGTGAAGGTAGGCAGCCTCCTACAGAACATCTGCACTGTGGCTCATGTTCCCCCAGGCTCCAGAAAGCCTTAGTCACCTCTACCTTCTACCACCTTGAGTCTACGAGCTCCTCAGAGGAGTTATTAGCAGCTTAGAATTTTCCATGCTTCTCTTCCTGAAAAGGAAGGCTCTTCAGTTAATTTTTTAGAAGCAATGACACCCTGCATCCCTACAAGTGGTATCCCAGCTAGGACCTTAATTTGTAGTGCAGGGAGATTGCAAGAGATTAGGTGCCCACAGAGCTGATTTCTCTTTCCCTGCAACCTAAATATCCCATATCCCACTGTCCTGGAAAGATGGGACGATGCTGCTTGCATTTCAAGGTAGAGAAAGCAAAGCCCAGAGTCATTACAGAAGTTGCTAAATGTTCAGCAAACAGTAGCAAAGCTAGGAGTGGATGTTCAGAACTGAATGAAGCCAAACTTGGTGATTTTCACTTATAAAATTAAGGGGGAAAAAAGCCTACCTGGCACTGTCAGGAAAGACATTCTGTTCACTATCTCACATCTTATCTCGAGCTATCATTTATCACCCCTATCAGGTACTAAAACTTGATTGGCAGAGCCCTGCACAAAATTCCAACCGACACTAGCTCATTTCTATGAGGACTCAATACAGAGAGACAAGGAAAAGGTAAAAAGAGTTTCCCTTAGCCCTTTAAGACCCGCCAGTAGTTCATTACTTTCTCCATTTCTTCAAGTCTGGCCTTATTTTATATACTGACCTAGGCACCTCAACTTCAGGCCTCAACCATTCCTCTTAGGTATGTATTGTAATGTTTTCTGAGCCCTGATGGAGAGAGTGTTCCTTATTACCCACATGCAGCCAGAAGATAGAAAAACTTCCAAAAATTCCATTCCACTAGAAACCAAGTGGAAAATCACATTGCAATTCTGTTTCCAAACTGATAAAGATGAACAATCCAATAGTGGGGACAGCAGGAGAAGTAGAGAAGAGCTTGGGAGGGAATGAATAAAGGGAGAGAGAAAATAAAACCTTAAAGCTATCTTCAAATGTCAGGTGACAAAATGAAATGAATTTTCCTTGATGCATAGAATGAAAATGTTATTTAGTCATTCTCCCAAATTTTCAAACATAAATATTAGGCTCCATATTAACCTACACAAACCAGCCAAAAATCCCATTAGGAGATCTTAAAAAGAAAGAAAATCTCTGCAAACATCATTAACTCACCCCAAAGCTGCTTCCAAAAGAAAATGCCAAGTTACTTGCCAACTAATAAAATGATACTAAGAGATGCAGGTCACAAATAAGGGAAGGCTGCAGAGTAAATAGCATCCTTGTCACCTGCAGAGCTTTAAGGGGAAACTATGAAAATGGCTGGTTTTGATTTTCCAGAGACAAATTCTCAGATGGCTTACTGCACAAGTCTTCATTTTCTGCACTTTTTTTCCTGAGGCAGCAGGAGAATTTGTGATGTCTTATTTTACATATTTAGCTTTACAGAAGGAAAGCAATATGGCATACCAGTAGGGGAAAAGTCATCGCGGTCTAAACTTTTAAAACTAAATTCAAGTCACAGTCTTGCCATGTTAATCTTTCTTGAGATACTGAGTTAGTTTATGTTCAGACTGGATGATGGTTTGGCAGGGAGGGTCCCAGACTCTCTTCTTTCTGAGCCTGAGAAGATTTTTGTGGCAGCTCTTAACACTACTAACCATACCTCCTTTGGGGAACATTCTTTTCTCTGGGCTTTGCAAATACCAAACTCTCCTAATATTTTTTTCCTAAACTTCTCTGGACATGCCTTCTTAATCTCCTGTGGGGTGACGTTTCTTTTCTTGCTGTTCCCCTGGAGTTGGATCATACCTCTTCTTATTACTGTGCTCATTCTCCTAGGGTGTTCTGGTCTGTTCCTACAACTTCAGTTGCTATCCATGTGCCCAGAGATGTCTTCCTTTCTGAGCTTCAGAGCTACATAATAACCACCTCATTGGAAATCTTTACCCCGCTCCTCAGTGCAACTGTCCTACAAGTTCTCTTACTTCTCTTCCAAAACTGCTGTGTTCTTTGTACTTCTGCCTCAGTGAATGGCCTGTGTCTCAGGATCCTTGGGGTGTCACTTTTCCAGCCAGAAACCTCTGTGGCCAGTGGTGCCTTTGCCTAAGTTTTGCTTGGGCTCCCTGGGCTCATTCTGCTGAGTCAACCTGCTGGGCTGTGCTCAGCTCACACTACTTGCTCAGCTCCCACGCCTGCCAGTGGTGAGCCAGGTGTGGAGCAGCAAGGGGTGCATGAGCAAGCAAGCACAGGGTCTGGCCACTGCACACAGCTGGGCACGCCAGCTGCTGTCATGGGGCGGGCAGCTCCAGTTGCAGGCACAGGCGCCAGCTCCATGCAAGCCTGCGGTTGGATCTGATGCACAAGTATCTTCTGCTGTGGGCACCTGTGTTTGTACAAGGGGAATGTGGTGCTGCCTGGAAGCTTGGAGATGCCAGGAACCACAGAGCCCCAAAGAGGGTGTCACAGCCCTGGCTCAGGAAGCCCCTAGGTCTGGGCTGTCTGAAAGGCTGCAGCTCTTCTCTCCTTCTTGTTGCCTACAATGTGGCAAGTAGGGTGTGTGGCGGGAGATGGGAGTATGTATCAGCCCTGTTTGTGTTACACCTCTTTCAGTCCCACCATTTGGCAGGTCCCGAGTTTTTGTCTTCCGTCCTGGAAGAATGAGGTACATAGATAACTGGAGGGTGAGCAAGGCAGAGAGGTGCTTTATTGAGCGACAGAACAGCTCTTGGGAGACTTGAAGTGGTTAGCTCCTTACTGCAGGCAGGTCATCCTGATGAGCGCAGCCCTCAGTGGAGAGGAGACCCAGAGTGGGTAGTTCCTTTCTGCAAGCAGGTTGTCCCAATAAGTGTCCAGCTCTCAGTGGAGAGAAGACACTCTCCACTGAGTGGACTGAGTGGACAGCTCCTTTATGCAGGCAAATCAACCTAATGAGCTGAGGAGACCTGAATTGGGTGACTCCTTCCCACAGCTGATAGTCCTGATGCCTGTGTGAGCCTGGCTGGGTCCAGGGTTTTTATGGGCTCAGAAGGGAGGAAGTGCATGCTGATTGGTCCACAGGTGACCATGGGTGGGCCTGGAAAATGTACAATAAGTTCTCACTTGGGGCCACTAGGAACTGACAGTCTGGTTCCCAGGCTTCAGGCCAACCCCAGCTTGAAGGTGGAGCTTCACCAGGGACCTGCCCCTTTCTGCCCAGGAGCCTGTCTGCCTCCTGCCACCACCAATCATGTTGTCCATGGTGCCCAGGCTGTTCCTGCCAAAGGGTGCCTGCAGGCCCACACAGAGCCACCCTGAGTACTCCCTTGGACTCCCTCCTGTGCCCATGTGTGCCCAAAGTCCAGATGGGGATGAGGCAGCAGGGGGCTGGGATGTCAGTGCCACCCTTAGCACATGCACACCCAGCTGGGGTTGTGAAAACACCTGGGCTCAGCCACAACTTTGCTTCACCCCGGAGCAGGCACCAAGAGTGGGAGCAGTCACTCACTCTTCACGTTCATGTGCCATGCACCCCTCACCACCCTGCACCTGGCTTGCCCTTGGCAAGTGTGGGATTCAGGCCAGTAGTGTGAGCAGACCCTGCTGGGCCGAGTGGGAGGAGCAAGCCCAGCAGATGTGAGCAAAACTCAGGCAGAAGGTGCAACCGGCCACAGAGTTTTCTGGCTGGCAAAGCAAGACCCCAAGGATCCCATGACATCAGTATCTGAAACTAGCAACATCCTTAACATATTTTTCTTGCCCATTCTCCATATCCAGTCAATCCTCACATCCTATTTTACCTTCTACATATTTCTTGAATCAATCTACCTATGCCCATCCATTTTGCCATCACCCTTATCCAAATCACGGTATCATGAGACAGTGTAGAGTATTATGGTATAGTGAGACAGTGTAGAGCCACCACCCTCATCCAAACTATGGTATCATGAGACAGTGAGAGAACTATCCCTGGAACCAGGGTTCATACTCCCACTCTACCTCATAATAACTGTGAATAAGTCATTTAATCTGTTTATGCTTCAGTTTTATCACCTGTAGACAGAGATGATAATAAACCTCATAGCATTGTGAAAATTAATGATCATACATGTGAAGGGCTTAGAAGAAGGACCAGCACATAGCTCAAGAAAGTATTAGTTGCAGTGACAATTATTACCATTATTATCATTGCTGTTATCATTATAACCCATTTTGATAACTGAATCTCTCACCTAACTTTATTTTTTTATATCCACTGACACTTCTTTCCAATTCTTTCTGCTCATTATGGTAAGAGTGATGGTTCCTAAAGGCAAATCCTATTATAATACCACCTTGCTTGTTCAGTTTACCTCAGGATAAAGCTCAAATCCCTTAACATAACTTAGGAGGCTCTTTAGTGCCTGGTTCTTCCCTGCATTTCTCTTGCAACTAGTTCCTTCTGATATCTGTGTTCCTTTTCACATGACTGAGACACTCTTCCACTTCTTCACACAGGTAACTTCTGCCCTCCTATCAGTTCTCCATTGGTTGTCCCTTATCTGTATTGGGAAAATACAATTGAAAACAAAATCTCCCATCCCAGAAAACCTCTCCACAAAGGTAGTATAGACAGAAAAGAGTTTTATTCTTAAATGAACATTGAACCAAAATATAATGCATATCACAGGCAATCCCCTAAGAGATAACAAAGACAGAAAGAAGTTACACCCTTTTTATAGCCAAGCAGATACAATAAATTATGTACATGTTTTTATAGTATGTAAGGACTTTACAGTACTATCTGATATACATAGTTCATGGGACCCTGGTAATTGGGGTAAACATCTGTGTTACCTTATTAGCTTTATCTAGAAAAAAACACACACACATGCACACACACAACAACCTTCTCACACCTTTATGGTAGGAGGTAGTTTTGCAACTTGCAGCAAGATGCCCACTGAAGTTAGATTTCTTTTTTCTTCCTTTTTTTAAATAAATTATACTTGAAGTTCTGGGATACATGTGCAGAACATGCAGTTTTGTTACATAGGTATACACAAGTCATGGTGGTGTGCCACACCCATCAACCCATCATCTACATTAGGTATTTCTCCTAATGCTATCCCTCCCCTAGCTCCTCACCCCCTCACAGGCCCCAGTATGTGATGTTCCCCTCCCTGTGTCTATGTGTTCTCATTGTTCAACTCCCGTTTATGAGTGAGAACATACAGTGTTTGGTTTTCTGTTCCTCTGTTAGTTTGCTGAGAATAATGGTTTCCAGCTTCATCCTTGTCCCTGCAAAGGACATGAACTCATCCCTTTTTATGGCTGCATACTATTCCATGGTGGATATGTGCCACATTTTCTTTATCCCATCTATCACTGATGGGCACGTGGGTTGGTTCCAAGTCTGTTATTGTGAACAGTGCTGCAATAAACATACGTGTGCATGTGTCTTTATAGCAGAATGATTTATAATCCTTTGGGTATATACCCAGTAATGGGATTGCTGGGTCACATGGTATTTCTGGTTTTAGATCCTTAAGGAATCACCACACTGTCTTCCACAATGGTTGAACTAATTTACACTCCCACCAACAGTGTAAAAGTGTTCCTATTTGTCCACATTCTCTCCAGCATCTGTGGTTTCCTGACTTTTTAATGATCGCCATTCTAACTGGTGTGAGATTGTATCTCACTGTGGTTTTGATTTGCATTTCTCTAATGACCAGTGATGATGAGCTTTTATTCATATCTTTTTTGGCCACATAAATGTCTTCTTTTGAGTAGTCTCTGCTCATATCCTTTGCCCACTTTTTGATGGGCTTGTTTTTTTCTTGTAAATTTGTTTAAGTTCTTTGCAGATTCTGGATATTAGCCTTTTGTCACATGGATAGATTGCAAAAATGTTCTTCCATTCTGTAGGGTGCCTGTTTACTCTGATGATAGTTTCTTTTTGCTGTGCAGAAGCTCTTTAGTTTAATTAGATCCCATTTGTCAATTTTGGCTTTTGTTGCCATTGCTTTCGGTGTTTTAGTCATGAAGTCTTTCCCCATGCCTATGTCCTAAATGATATTGCCTAGGTTTTCTTCTAGGGTTTTTATGGTTTCAGGTCTTACATTTAAGTCTTTAATACATCTTGAGTTAATTTTTGTATAAGGTGTAAGTAAGGGGTCCAGTTTCAGTTTTCTTCATATGGCTAGCCAGTTTTCCCAACACTATTTATTGAATAGGGACTCCTTTTCCCATTGCTTGTTTTTGTCAGGTTTGTCAAAGATCAGATGGTTGTAGATGTGTGGTGTTATTTCTGAGGCCTCTGTTCTGTTCCATTGGTCTATATATCTGTTTTGGTACCAGTACCATGCCGTTTTTGTTACTGTGGCCTTGTAATATAGTTTGAGGTCAGGTAGCGTGATGCCTCCAGCTTTGTTCTTTTTGCTTAGGATTGTCTTGGCTATACGGGCTCTTTTTTGGTTCCATATGAACTTTAAAGTAGTTTTTTCTAATTCTGTGAAGAAAGTCAATGGTAGCTTGATGAGGACAGCACTGAATCTATAAATTACTTTGGGAAGTATGGCCATTTTCATGATATTGATTATTTCTATCCATGAGCACGGAATGTTTTTCAATTTGTTTGTGTCCTCTCTTAATTCCTTGAGTGGTGGTTTCTAGTGCTCCTTGAAGAGGTCCTTCACATCTCTTGTAAATTGTATTCCTAGATATTTTATTCTCTTTGTAGTAATTGTAATTGGGGATTCACTCATGATTTGGCTTTCTGTTGGTCTATTATTGGTGTATAGGAATGCTTGTGATTTTTGCACACTGATTTTGTATGCTGAGACTTTGCCAAAGTTGCTTATCAGCTTAAGGAGATTTTGGGCTGAAACGATGGGGTTTTCTAAATATACAATCATGTCATCTGCAAACAGAGACAATTTGACTTCATCTCTTCCTATTTGAATATGCTTTATTTCTTTCTCTTGACTGATTGCCCTGGCCTGAAGTTAGATTTTTATCCAGCCACAGAAACTGGGAGATAGACGTGCCATCTCTCTTGATGCTTGCACTTCTTATTTAATTTTTTTTTTTAAATTTTAAGTTCAGGGAATACTTGTGCAGATTTGTTATATGGGTAAATTGCATGCCACTGAGGCTTGGTGTATGAAAGCTCCTGTCACCAAAGTAGTCAGCATAGTACCAGATAGGTAGCCATCCAACCCACACCCCCCTCCCCTGTCATGCAGTCCCCAGTGCCTGTTGTTCTCTTCTTTGTGTCCATGTGTATTCAGTGTTTAGCTCCAATTTATAAGTGAGAACATGCCATATTTGTTTTCTGTTCCTTCCTTAGTTGTCTTAGGATAATGGCCTCCAGCTGCATCTATGTTGCTGCAAAGGACATGATTTCATTTCTTTTCTATGGCTGTGTGATATTCCATGATGTATATGTACCACATTTTCTTTATCCAGTTTACCACTGATGAGCACATAGGTTGATTCTATGTCTTTGCAATCATGAGTAGTGCTACAATGAACATACAAGTACTTGTGTCTTTTTGGTGGAACAATTTGTTTTCCTCTGTGTATATACTCAATTGTGGGATTGCTTGGTTGAATGGTAATTCTAAGTTCTTTGAGAAATCTCCAAACTGCTTTCCACAGCTGAACTAATTTATATTTTCACCAGCACTGTGTAAGTGTTCCTTTTTCTCTGCAGCCTTTACAGTATTTGTTTTTTTTTGTTTTTTTATTAATAGCCATTCTGACTGTCTCGTTATAATTTTGATTTGCATTTCTGTAATGATTAGTGATATCAGCATTTTTTCATATATTTGTTGGCTGTGTGTCTGTCTTCTGTTGAGAAGTGTCTATAGAAAACCTACAGAATGGGAGAAAATAGATGCAAACTATGCATCCAACAAAGGTCTCATATCTAGAATCTATATGGAACTTAAATCAACAAGCAAAAAATGAAAAATCCCTTTTTTTTAAAAAAATGCTTGCAGTTCAAAGAGATGGCTCTCAGGTCCTTGAGAAAGACATTCCTTGGTAATGAAGCTGATAAAATAATTTTTATATATTTCAAAGAGAAAGTGTTATCATTAGAAATTTTACTTTTTTGTCTTTTTAATTTTAATTTTATTTTATTTCATTTTAAGTTCTCGTCTAGGAAACATGTGCATGATGTGCAGGTTTGTTACATAGGTAAACATTTGCCATAGTAGTTTGCTGCACCTATCAACCCCTCACCTAGGTACTAGGAAAAAAGGAGAGACAGAAAATCTCTTCCCTTCTTTTTAACAGGGAGAATTTAGCCTCTTATTTTTAATTTGTATTTGTCTTTACACCTTCCCCAGACTATGCTATGAGCCTGCCATGTCTGATCATGGTACTCTTTTCTCCCCCTGTATTACACTTGATGCAGCCATTCAGTATTTCATTTATTCACTACATAATGAGTGCCTACCAAGTGCTGGATACTGGCTATACTGTGGTTAAAAAAACTGACATGGTCTTGTCTTAATAAGTCTTACAGTCTGTTGAGAGAACTTGACAAATAATTAAACAAATAAATAACTGTATATTTTAAAATGTGATAACTATAAAACTATTGTTTTCAAACAGAAATATTTTGTTCAAGAATGAATTGATGATTGAATAATTACATTTCCACAGCTCTATAATTTAGGTAAGAGAAATTTCTTGAACAGATAAAAAAGCAAACATTAGGACAAGAATCTATCTCTATCCCCCATAGAGTATGTCTCCCACTACCTTGTGGTCGAAATGAATTGAGAGAGTGAAAATTAGTACATGTTGCTATCATCTGTACCCCCTACCTTTAGATGATAAGAGGATGATGTGGACAAAATTATGAAGCTAAAATATTACCAATGCTGACATAAGGTCAAGCAGTCAAGTTGTACGGATTTAAAACCAATGCTTTATTTCACAGGACACTAATTAGGAAAAATACCCAATTCTCTGAATGTTGGCTGACTGGTAACCTCCCCCTGACCCAGACTATATATTTCATTTTAGGACTTGTGAGAAAGAGTTAGATATCAGAGATTTACATGCAAGAAAGAGGCAACATCATTACCAATTCTAGCAAGCCTTCTTCCAAAGGTCCTGCCATGTGAACAACATCCGTGCCTGATTCTCACTCCCATCCTAAGTCCTAGCCAGAGAAATGCCTCACTGCTCTCCAAGATAAATTTCATCATTTCATTCTACGCCTTGACCTAATTTTATTTTAAATGTCAACTCTGGTTCCGCCAAAGAGGCTCTCTACTTAGATGTAAGGATGGCATAAACAACTTTTTAGAATCTGATTTTGGTTGTCTGAGAGAACATTTTTAAAGATAAACACCCTAAGAAACAATGCTCTAAAACTGTAGCACTGCCCTCTAATTCCTGTTTGTTGGTCTTGGGAAGGAAGAATTCAAGGAGAGTCAATGAATTCGTGTGTTTCAGAATCTCCTATAGGGATAGGAGTTTCTAATTCAACAGGCCTGGGTTGGAGCCCAAGAATTTAGTTGCTGAAAAGTTCGCAAGTGATGCTGATGCTGCTGGTCTGGGGACCATACTTTGAGAATCACTGTTTTATGTCAATGGTTCTTAATCTTGACTGCATATTAGAATCATTGGAAGTGCTTTTTAAAAAAATACTGATAACAGAGTACTATACCAGACCAACAATACCAGAATCTCTTGGAACAGAGCCCAGCCATCTGTATTTTTTAAAGTAGCACAGAGATTCAGGGTTGAGAACAACTACTTTTAATAAAACCCTTGAAAAAGAAAGCAGAGTAATGAAGGGAAATTAGAAAGGATAGTGAGTGAACATCAGTGAACACTCTCTTTTAACATGGCAGTATAGAATGTATAGTATAGAAGGTATAGAACGGAATCAGAGCATAGTAGATTAAGATTATGTGCTTCATAATCTTAATCTACTATGAAAGATTGGACCAGATTTCTCCTATGAAAGATGAACCAGAGAAGGGGAGTGACTTGACCAAGATTTCACAGCAAATTAATAGCTGATCTGACTTGACCCCAAATCCTCATGATTTCTAGTTCAGTGATTTTTTCCCCTAACTAAACTTGGATTCCAGTCTGATAGTCCTTAAAACACTTAGAAGAAATTTATAAAACAATAATAAGCAGACATGAAAATACAATGAGATAAATAGCATAAGATGGGAACAGCAACAACAAGGTGAGTCATTTATCTCAGTCTAGTAGAGAGGGGTAAAGAGAGGAGGTAGCATTAACCAGTGGAGTAAAAAGGACAGTTCAGAGGAAGAGAAAAGCACAAGCCAAGGCACAGAGGCTAGAATGACATACTTTGTGAGGCATTGGAAAACCTTTCAGAAGAGTGTAGCCTAAAGAGAGAGACTGGTAGAGCTCAGATCTTAAAGGATCCAGAATCTTATAGATAATGGGGCAGGCACTGATGCGTTTTAAATAGTGGAGTGTAGAATAATAACAGGGTGATATTTGCATTTTAGATAGGTCACTTTGTCAGTGGCAAAGGAGATTGATTTGAGGAGAGCTAGCCTGAAGGTAAAGGAAAAATTACAGTGCTGTTGGAAGAGTTTAGGAGAGATATATTCATGGTATAAATTAGGTCAGACATATAGGGACGGACAAGGAGCAATGGATCTGAGAGGACTTTGGAACTGGATAACCTAAGACTTAGTTATTGATAGGAGGTGGAGTATGGGGAAGGTGGATCAAGGATGATGCCAAGCTTACTGGACTGAACAACAAGGAACAACTGTCATGAGGTCAGTGGGGCAAAAGCATGTGTCGAGATGATGAGTGCCATTCGGAGAACACTGGGTATTCAGTAGGTTATCCAAGTGGCAATGTCTAGTATGGGATGGACGTGAGACTTACATGGGAGAAGAAAAATTATTAATGATTCCCATTCAAAGAGGAAGTTAGGATCACAAAAGTAGCTGAGAAAAACCTGCAAGAGAAATTCAATCATGGAACTTGGCAGATGCCAACATTTCAGGGGAAGGTGGAGTCAGAGGGGGCAAATAAAGAGAATGAGAATGTGGTAAAGCCAAAGTACTTACATGTGGGTCATCACCCCTCTATACTTTTCTTCTGCCCCTCACCCATGCTTTACAAAGAAATCTATATTCAGACCCTCATTTCCTGCCTCTTCCCCTTTGCAAAGTAGTAAGGAAAGTGAAAGGAAGACAAACCAACTAAGTCTACATAATCAAGGGTGGATGGAAGAAGTGAGTGAGAGAATAAAGAAACAGAATCTTATATCTGGGACTGAGAGAGAGAAATTTAGAGGTTGTGGTATAAGAGGCTCCAGACCAGCTGTGAGGTTTAAGAAAACATGTGAGTGATGTAGGAGTCTTTGATAAGTGAGGGTGAGTTAGATTCCCTTTGATATTCTTTGAGGACCAGAGACTAAATTGCTTTGAGTTGTTGCTCTGGACATTTTTGAAAATGTCTCTAATAGAGTCTGAGCAATATGACAGTCAGATATTATAGGGTTATAAGAAGAAATCATCAAGAAAGTAGGAGATGACCCAGAAGAAAGTAATAAAACAGAAACCAATGAGAAAAAGAAGAGGTCCATGTCATCAAATGCAGCTGAGAGGTCAAACAGCCAATGTCAACTATTGTCAATGCAGTTTTGGATGAGTTAGGAGTCAGAAATCAACAGGCAAAAGATGAATGCGACATAAAAAATTAGAACAATGAGTTTGCTCTCCTCTAAGGAGAAACTTGACTGATAAAGGAATGAGAGAATTCAGAGTAGCTAATGGGAAATAACAATATTTTTGAAGTGAGATACCAATTTATACATGTGCAAAGTGATTGATCCATCAGTTCAAACACTTTGATTCTCCCTTATTCGCTAGTCCCTGGGTACTTTATCTCTGAGCCACTCTCCTCATTATTGTTGTTTAGCTGTACATTGTTCTCATGACATGATGCTAAAGAAAGAATCACTAATAAGAAGGAATTTTGCTTATTCAAGAATATTTGAGAGACTGCTTCCCATGCTTTCTTGCATGCTTCCTACAAATGTTTTGTTGTTTATTTTTTTTTTCATTTGATAGTTTCCTTATGTATTAGGGTTTTCCAAAGAAGAGAACCAATAGAAGAGATATAGATGATACTGATATAAATACAGATATGATATGGTTTGGCTTTGCGTTCTCACCTAAATCTCATGTCAAATTGTAAACTCCACGTGTTGAAGCAGGAGCCTTGTGGGAGGTAATTGGATGATGGGGGTATTTTCTTTTTTTTAATTTTAATTTTCTTTTTTTTTTTTTTTTTTCTGAGATGGAGTCTCGCTCTGTCGCCCAGGCTGGACTGCAGTGGCGCGATCTGGGCCCACTGCAAGCTCTGCCTCCTGTTCACACAATTCTCCTGCCTCAGCCTCCCGAGTAGCTGGGACTACAGGCGCCCACCACCACGCCCGGCTAATTTTTTTGTATTTTCAGTAGAGAGGGGGTTTCACTGTGTTAGCCAGGATGGTCTCGACCTCCTGACCTCGTGATCCGCCCGTCTGGGCCTCTCAAAGTGCTGGGATTATAGGCGTGAGCCACTGCGCCCGGCTGATGGGGGTATTTTCTAATGCTTTAGTACTGTCCCCTTATTGCTGTCTTGTGAGTGAGTTCCCATGAGATCTGTTTGTTTAAGCATGTGGCACTTACCCCGGACCCCCACCCTCTCTCCCCTCCCCTGCCCTTGCTCCATCTTGGTAGGACATGCTTGCTTCTCCTTCACCTTCAGAGTCATGATTATAAGTTTCCTGAGGCCTCCCAGCCATGCTTCTTGTACAGCCTGCAGAACTATGTCAACTAAGCCTCTTTTCTTTATAAATTACCCCATCTCAGGTAGTTCTTTATAGCAATGTGAAAACAGACTAATACAAGATAAGAGGAGATTTATTATAGAAATTGGCTTATGCAGTTTTGGAAACCAGAAAGTCCCATAATCTGCTGCAGAGAACCTGCAAATGGAGAACCAGGAAAGCTGGTGGTGTAATCACGTCTGAATCCAAAGGCCTGAGAGTCTGGGAGAGGATGGTTGTGGTGTAACTTCTGGTCTGGGTCCAAGGAGCTAGAACGCCAAAATCTGAGGGCAGGAGAAGCTGGATGTTTCAGCCCAATTAGAGACAGTGAATTTGCCCTTCCTCTGCCATTTTTGTTCTATTTAGGACCTCGGTAGATTGGATGATGCCCACCCACGTGGGGAAGGGCCATCTGCTTTACCCACTTCATCAATTCAAATGAGGATCTCTTCCAGAACACCCTTACGGACACCTAAAAATAATCTTTTGCCAACTATCTGGAAGTCCCTTAGTGCAGTAAAGTTGAAACACAAAATTAACCATCATAGCTTGTAAAAAATTATTATAGAAAATTGTTAACAAAAACCTGATGTCAATTCTCTTTTAATTAAAAATGTTTAAATTACATATATTTCAACAGTAAACATGGTGTCTCTATATAGACTAACCTTTGTGCACACTGGGAATAAAATGTCTCCTGCTTACTTTAAACAAGGCAATAGCTTCTTTAGAGAGGAAGATTTGTTTAAGAATCCTCTGAAAAAGTTTTAAAGCCCATGACCATTCTTACATTCTTACTTGCAAATTCAAAAGTCTCTTTTTTGGTGATTTCCAGATAAGATAAGCTTGCCTTGAAAGCAGGCTTGGCAACAGTGCGCTAAGAAAGTAGCACAATGTCTCTTAAACTAGTGTAACAGAGTGGACATTCCACTGTTAGATGTCCATTCTTTAGGGTTTTGTGTTGCCCTGACTCAAAATGTCAGACCAGTGCTACCCAAAAATGTGACCTATAGAAGAGCAGCAGAGGCAAAAATGGTAGAAATGCTGACTCTCTGCTCCTACTCTAGATCTACTGAGTCGGAACTGCTGGGATGTAGGGCTAAAGAATATGTTTTCCCAAGCCCTTCATGGCACTCCTGTGTCTGCTGAAGTGTGAAATGTGAAGGCACTGCCCTAGGCTCCTGAGAAGGAACTATCTTATTTATCTGTGTTACATACTTTTTTTTTTTTTTTATCTTTGCAGACCTATTTCCCTGCATTCTCACAGTGCTATGGTCCTAAAAAAAGTTGATCTGCATTGACGGTATCAGCAATATTCTGTGGGCTTTGATTAATAGAAGGTGCCACAGGAGATTGAATAATGTGAAAAGAATGAGGTCAAGATGTTTATTTCTGCCCAAAGTCCATCTTGCAAGGCCATCGAGAGCTGACAGCTTCCTAGAACTGAAGGTCACAGCTTCTTGTCAGTTAGCCCTTTCCACACAGCTCTCTCTGACTCAGTCTTCCTCCTCTCACCTCTTCTTTAGTGGTAGCAATGACTTCACCACCCCTGCTGATAATAGCCCCAGGAAGTAACACTGTTCATTCTTCATGACTTAACTCCAACCTACTCACAATTTGTAAATAGTCAGTTTATGATATCCTCCTGAAATCACACAGTTTAAGTGTGCCAGCTTTTCCTTTCAGGACCCTGAGTGACAAAATCCATGTTTCCAATGCCTAGCATAAGGATTAATAAATATTTATAGAACGAATAAATGAAGGAAAAATACACTCGAAAAGGAATAACCCTCCTCATGGGTATCAGTCATTAATAGCTTAGTGACTTTATAAGGTTTTTTAAAAATGCCAGCTAACAGGCTAATTTGAAAATGGGATATGAAAATATGGGATATGAATTTTAATACGCATGAGGTCCATAGCACTCTCTTTGAGAAGACTGGCCTGAAGGCAACCTCAATGCATTAAATGGGAGGTGATTTCTCCTGGCAATGAAGCTCATCTAGTCTACTTATCTTAGTTGCAAAAAATAAAACAGGTCTGCACAGTCACAAAGGAGAAAAAGATGTGGTAGACAATTTAAAAATAATGAATAAAGTTTCAAAATTTAGCAAGGATGGTTGGTGAGAGAAGAGTATTTTGCAGCAGTAAATTAACTCCTGGCTTTTACGGGCAGTACAGAATATCCAACTGGCTCATGCTTAAGATGTGGCAATATTAAGAACAAAGATCTAGTGCTTGGAATGGTGCCGGGTCTGTATTATCACTCAACAGATATTTTGAAGGATGACTATTTTCTTTTATCAAAGAAGAGATCTATAAATATTAATGTCCTCTGTCTTAACGGCATCTGTTCATCCTTCTTGTTAACAGATCTGTGGTACATGGCCTGGCCTTTTCCAACATTAGAAACCAGTGACTATGAGTCACGAAGACCTGGAAGACTGGTAGTTTGGGACCTAGTGCACAACCCACCCCACCCCAGCCCCATCACCTTATTTTATTTCCTCCAGTTCAGGTTGCCAGACCCATCTGTAAGCACTTATCATAATGTGAACAAATGCACATAGATGAACAATGAGCACTGTTTGTTTAGAGTGATGATATACTGGCTGTGTATCCTCTGTATTTTAAAAATTCTTTTCTAAGGACAACTAAATTTACCAATCAGTTTATCCAAGCAGGCAATCCTGGAAAGATATTTTTTGAAAAAGTTTCCATCTGCCACCTAATGTTGTATATCCAGACCTGCTTCTTTTATCACTTCTTACACCCAAAGTTCTCTCAACACATCTTGATTCAACTCTTCAGATTTCTATTCTGGCTCACCACATGTCAAATCTTGCTAAGCAAATGGAGAAACAACACTCAACATATCTCCGCCTGTCAACAGCAACATCTGTGTTCAAGTCATTAAAGACTAGAACCTGAATTTCATCCCCCTGCTTTTTCTCAAATCACACTCTGCAAGGAATGTATACAGGAACTTTCTCTTATTATTACGGGTTGAGGTATGCAAGGGCTCAGAATCAGTGCTCTAAGGTTTAGCATTTTGTGCCTTGACTAGTAATGAAAGTAACTAATCTCCAAAAAATTTCTCAACTACGTGATGCATATCTTGCCTAAGAAAATGCAAATTTAGCAACTCTGCCAGACACAGCATACCTTCTACTGAAGATGAGGAAGTCTTTTAAGCATAGTCACCAGTATGAAATGCCATCTGGTTAAATTGTTTTAACCTCCGAATAGTGGTGTCTATAACTGTGCTTAAATTTTTTGTACTTCACTCCCTGCAAGGATTATCTCTACTTGAGAGCACTGAATGCCAGTAGATTATATGTTCTCAAAGCAGAAAACAGATACTAAAGCCAAAACATTAATCATGCCCAAGAAATGACACTTAGTCCAGGCAGAAATGAGTATGTTTGAGTAGCTAGTAAATTGCAATATTTAAAAATCCATCTGAATAAAATTTGAATGAAGGAGTCATTCTCCCCATCCAAAAAGGTTGGTGGAACAGTAGTTTTATATACTATTAAAAGTAAGACATCAGGTTTTAAAATTTAAGTAGGAAAGGAACATTGGCCATAGTTGATTGTGTGTGAGGGTTTCATATCTTACTGCCCACATTGTACCAAGTGTCTAAATATCAGATAATTCATCACATATCATCAGTCCCTGTTGGAAATTCCACGATCATGTCAAACAGTAAGTCAAAGAGGGATCTGATCACTCTTCCACTTACTTTGTTCTCCTTTTCTTTGTTATCTCACTGAATGGTAACCTATTTACCCAGATGCCCCAAGTGAAATTCTACCATCTCTAATCAGTTATCAAGTCTTCTTTCTATTTCTATTTCAAACCCATCTTTTCTTCTCAACTGCTAATGTCTTCATTTTGTTCCTCAAAATTTCATATCTGAGTAAGCAAAACATTCCTCTAATTAGTCTCCCTGACTCCATACTGTTTATCTTTCAATTAATTCTTCATGTGTAGGTCAAATTGGTTTTTTGAAAATCAAATATGATCCTTGGTTTAAACATCTCCCAGTAGCTCTCAAATCTTTAATTGATTTCTTAAACTCCAAACTCCCATTATGGCACACAACTGCTTTGAAACCTGGCCCCAGCTTGCAGCTTGCAGCTTCAGCCTTATGTCTTGCCACTCTCCATCTCACATTTTACATTCGGAGTATAACGAACTACTTGAGGTTTCATGAGCAAGGCCTGATCTCTCCGGACTTCACACACTGGCTTAGATCTCACTTGGAACAACTGTGCCCCATAAAGCACATTTGGCAATATCTGGAGACATTTTTGATTGTCAGGACTGAGAAGGGTTCTACTGATAGCACAGGGCAGCCCCCAACAACAAAGAACTGTCCAGCCCAAAATGTCTATCATGATGGGGTTGAGAAACTCTACCCTGGTCCCTTGTCTTCCCTTTGCAGCAGACACAGTATCCATTATTCATCTTGCTTTTAATAATCTAACCTCCCAAGTTTTAGTTGGGCACACAGTCACTTCATTAGACTGCAGTCCTCAGCCTCCATTGGAGCTGAGTGTAGGCATGTGTGCCATGAAGAGTTCACATAGCAGGCTGAGTCTGCTCTCCTTAGTAAGGCCTACTTGGAAGGGTGACCTTTGGCTTGCATCTAGGAACCTGGATTTCAGGAGGGTTCTCACCAGTCCCCAGTATGAGTGGCTCACTGTAACTAAACTGTACAAGAAATATAGCTAATGCTGAATATCTTCTTTCCTCTGAGAGTCTAGAATCTGGGGATATGCTCAGGCAGAGAGGGCCGACATGACCAATCCCAATTAAAACCCTGGTACTGCATCTCTAATTAACTCTCCTGGTAGATAGAATTTTATATTTCTCACAATTTGTTGCAGGAGGAATTAAGCACATCCTGGGTGACTCCACTGGGAAAGCACTCTGAGGAGTTTGCAGCTGATTTCCTCTGGACTTTGCCCCAAGTGCCTTTTCCTTTTGCTTATTTTCCTTTGTATCCTTTGCAGCAATAAATGTTGGCCATGAGTACAACTATATGGTAAGTCCTGTGAGTTCCTCTAATGAATCCATGAAACTGGGAAAACTCTGGGGACTCCTGACAAAACATGTGACTAAGTTCTGGTCAGTAAGAAGTGAAACAGAAGTCAACTTCTGGGTCAGATGCTTTAAATAGGAAATTGTTTGCCTCTCCTTCCTCTTTTCCCTCTTCCTGTACACTGGATTGTGGATATGGTACTCATCAACCAGCTTTAATCAGATGGAAGAGGGCCATACCCTAGAGCAGAGGTTGGCTAATTTTTTCTGTAAATAGGCCATACAATCTCTGTTGCAACTACTCATTTATGCCACTAAAGGAGCCATGGAGAGTACATAAATGAATGTGCATGGCTGTGTTCCAGTAAAATTTTACTTACAGACACAGGACACAGGACAGATTTTTCTTGCAAGCCATAGTTTGCCAATTCCTGCCCTAGAGGACAGAGATAGAAGGCATTGGAAGGCCCCTGACCCCTGACCCCCGAGCAGCCTAACTGGGAGGTACCCCCCAGCAGGGGCACACTGACAGCTCACAGGGCCCAGTACTCCAACAGACCTGCAGCTGAGGGTCCTGTCTTTTAGAAGGAAAACTAACAAACAGAAAGGACATCCACATCAAAAACCCATCTGTACATCACCATCATCAAAGACCAAAAGTAGATAAAACCACAAAGATGGGGAAAAAACAGAGCAGAAAAACTGGAAACTCTAAAAAGCAGAGCGCCTCTCCTCCTCCAAAGGAATGCAGTTCCTCACCAGCAACGGAACAAAGCTGGATGGAGAATGACTTTGACGAGCTGAGAGAAGAAGGCTTCAGACGATCAAATTACTCCGAGCTACGGGAGGACATTCAAACCAAAGGCAAAGAAGTCGAAAACTTCGAAAAAAATTTAGAAGAATGTATAACTAGAATAACCAATACAGAGAAGTGCTTAAAGGAGCTGATGGAGCTGAAAACCAAGGCTCGAGAACTACGTGAAGAATGCAGAAGCCTCAGGAGCCGGTGCGATCAACTGGAAGAAAGGGTATCAGTGATGGACGATGAAATGCATGAAATGAAGCAAGAAAGAAAGTATAGAGAAAAAAGAATAAAAAGAAATGAGCAAAGCCTCCAAGAAATATGGGACTGTGTGAAAAGACCAAATCTACGTCTGATTGGGGACCTGAAAGTGACGGGGAGAATGGAACCAAGTTGGAAAACACTCTGCAGGATATTATCCAGGAGAACTTCCCCAATCTAGCAAGGCAGGCCAACATTCAGATTCAGGAAATGCAGAGAACGCCACAAAGATACCCCTCGAGAAGAGCAACTCCAAGACACATAATTGTCAGATTCACCAAAGTTGAAATGAAGGAAAAAATGTTAAGGGCAGCCAGAGAGAAAGGTCGGGTTACCCTCAAAGGGAAGCCCATTAGACTATCAGTGGATCTTTTGGCAGAAAATCTACAAGCCAGAAGAGAGTGGGGGCCAATATTCAACATTCTCAAAGAAAAGAATTTTCAACCCAGAATTTCATATCCAGCCAAACTAAGCTTCATAAGTCAAGGAGAAATAACATCCTTTACAGACAAGCAAATGCTCAGAGATTTTGTCACCACCAGTCCTGCCCTAAAAGAGCTCCTGAAGGAAGTGCTAAACATGGAAAGGAACAACCAGTACCAGCCACTGCAAAATCATGCCAAAATGTAAAGACCATCGAGACTAGGAAGAAACTCCATCAACTAACGAGCAAAATAACCAGCTAACATCATAATGACAGGACCAAATTCACACATAACAATATTAACTTTAAATGTAAATGGACTAAATGCTCCAATTAAAAGACACAGACTGGCAAATTGGATAAAGAGTCAAGACCCATCAGTGTGCTGTATTCAGGAAACCCATCTCATGTGCAGAGACACACATAGGCTCCAAATAAAAGGATGGAGGAAGATCTACCAAGCAAATGGAAAACAAAAAAAGGCAGGGGTTGCAATCCTAGTCTCTGATAAAACAGACTTTAAACCAACAAAGATCAAAAGAGACAAAGAAGGCCATTTCATAATGGTAAAGGGATCAATTCAACAAGAAGAGCTAACTATCCTAAATATATATGCACCCAATACAGGAGAACCCTGATTAATAAAGCAAGTCCTGAGTGACCTACAAAGAGACTTAGACTCCCACACATTAATAATGGGAGACTTTAACACCCCACTGTCAACATTACACAGATCGAGACAGAAAGTCAACAAGGATACCCAGGAATTGAACTCAGCTCAGCACCAAGCTGACCTAATAGACATCTACAGAACTCTCCACTCCAAATCAATAGAATATACATTTTTTTCAGCACCACACCACACCTATTCCAAATTTGACCACATACTTGGAAGTAAAACTCTCCTCAGCAAATGTAAAAGAACAGAAATTATAACAAACTATCTCTCAGACCACAGTGCAATGAAACTAGAACTCAGAATTAAGAATCTCTCTCAAAACCTCTCAACTACATGGAAACTGAACAACCTGCTCCTGAATGACTACTGGGTACATAATGAAATGAATGCAGAAATAAAGATGTTCTTTGAAACCAACGAGAACAAAGACACAACATACCAGAATCTCTGGGACGCATTCAAAGCAGTGTGCAGAGGGAGATTTATAGCACTAAATGCCCACAAGAGAAAGCAGGAAAGACCTAAAATTGACACCCTAACATCACAATTAAAAGAACTAGAGAAGCAAGAGCAAACACATTCAAAAGCTAGCAGAAGGCAAGAAATAACTAAAATCAGAGCAGAACTGAAGGAAATAGAGACACAAAAAACACTTCAAAAAATTAATGAATCCAGGAGCTGGTTTTCTGAAAGGATCAACAAAATTGATAGACTGCTAGCAAGACTAATAAAGAAAAAGAGAGAGAAGAATCAAATAGATGCAATAAAAAATGATAAAGGGGACATCATCACCGATCTCACAGAAATACAAACTACCATCAGAGAATACTACAAACACCTCTACGCAAATAAACTAGAAAATCTAGAAGAAATGGATAAATTCCTCGACACATACACTCTCCCAAGACTAAACCAGGAAGAAGTTGAATTTCTGAATAGACCAATAACAGGATCTGAAATTGTGGCAATAATCAATAGCTTACCAACCAAAAAGAGTCCAGGACCAGATGGATTCACAGCTGAATTCTACCAGAGGTACAAGGAGGAACTGGTACCATTCCTTCTGAAACTATTCCAATCAATAGAAAAAGAGGGAATCCTCTCTAACTCATTTTATGAGGCCAGCATCATCCTGATACCAAAGCCGGGCAGAGACACAACAAAAAAAGAGAATTTTAGACCAATATCCTTGATGAACATTGATGGAAAAAGCCTCAATAAAAAATACTGGCAAACCGAATCCAGCAGCACATCAAAAAGCTTATCCACCATGATCAAGTGGGCTTCATCACTGGGATGCAAGGCTGGTTCAATATACACAAATCAATAAATGTAATACAGCATATAAACAGAACCAAAGACAAAAACCACATGATTATCTCAATAGATGCAGAAAAGGCCTTTGACAAAATTCAACAACCCTTCATGCTAAAAACTCTCAATAAATTAGGTATTGATGGGACGTATTTCAAAACTATAAGAGCTATATATGACAAACCCACAGACAATATCATACTGAATGGGCAAAAACTGGAAGCATTCCCTTTGAAAACTGGCACAAGACAGGGATGCCCTCTCTCACCACTCCTATTCAACATAGTGTTGGAAGTTCTGGCCAGGGCAATTAGGCAGGAGAAGGATATAAAGGGTATTCAATTAGGAAAAGAGGAAGTCAAATTGTCCCTGTTTGCAGACGACATGATTGTATATCTAGAAAACCCCATCGTCTCACCCCAAAATCTCCTTAAACTGATAGGCAACTTCAGCAAAGTCTCAGGATACAAAATCAATGTGCAAAAATCACAAGCATTCTTATACACCAACCACAGACAAACAGAGAGCCAAATCATGAGTGAACTCCCATTCACAATTGCTTCAAAGAGAATAAAATACCTAGGAATCCAACTTACAATGGATGTGAAGGACCTCTTCAAGGAGAACTACAAACCACTGCTCAAGGAAATAAAAGAGGATACAAACAAATTGAAGAACATTCCATGCTCATGGGTAGGAAGAATCAATATCATGAAAATGGCCATACTGCCCAAGGTAATTTATAGATTCAATGCCATCCCCATCAAGCTACCAATGACTTTCTTCACAGAATTGGAAAAAACTACTTTAAAGTTCATATGGAACCAAAAAAGAGCCCACATCGCCAAGTCAATCCTAAGCCAAAAGAACAAAGCTGGAGGCATCACACTACCTGACTTCAAACTATACTACAAGGCTACAGTAACCAAAACAGTATGGTACTGGTACCAAAACAGAGATATAGATCAATGGAACAGAACAGAGCCCTCAGAAATAACGCTGCATATCTACAACTATCTGATCTTTGACAAACCTGAGAAAAACAAGAAATGGGGAAAGGATTCCCTATTTAATAAATGGTGCTGGGAAAACTGGCTAGCCATATGTAGAAAGCTGAAACTGGATCCCTTCCATACACCTTATACAAAAATCAATTCAAGATGGATTAAAGACTTAAACGTTAGACCTAAAACCATAAAAACCCTAGAAGAAAACCTAGGCATTACCATTCAGGACATAGGCGTGGGCAAGGGCTTCATGTCTAAAACACCAAAAGCAATGGCAACAAAAGCCAAAATTGACAAATGGGATCTAATTAAACTAAAGAGTTTCTGCACAGCAAAAGAAACTACCATCAGAGTGAACAGGCAACCTACAAAATGGGAGAAAATGTTCACAACCTACTCATCTGACAAAGGGCTAATATTCAGAATCTACAATGAACTCAAGCAAATTTACAAGAAAAAAACAAACAACCCCATCAAAAAGTGGGTGAAGGACATGAACAGACACTTCTCAAAAGAAGACATTTATGCAGCCAAAAAACACATGAAAAAATGCTCACCATCACTGGCCGTCTGAGAAATGCAAATCAAAACCACAGTGAGATACCATCTCACACCACTTAGAATGGCAATCATTAAAAAGTCAGGAAACAACAGGTGCTGGAGAGGATGTGGAGAAATAGGAACACTTTTACACTGTTGGTGGGACTGTAAACTAGTTCAACCATTGTGGAAGTCAGTGTGGTGATTCCTCAGGGATCTAGAACTAGAAATACCATTTGACCCAGCCATCCCATTACTGGGTATATACCCAAAGGACTATAAATCATGCTGCTATAAAGACACATGCACACATATGTTTATTGCGGCATTATTCACAATAGCAAAGACTTGGAACCAACCCAAATGTCCAACAATGATAGACTGGATTAAGAAAATGTGGCACATATACACCATGGAATACAATGCAGCCATAAAAAAGGATGAGTTCATGTCCTTTGTAGGGACATGGATGAAATTGGAAATCATCATTCTCAGTAAACTATTGCAAGAACAAAAAACCAAACACTGCATATTCTCACTCATAGGTGGGAATTGAACAATGAGAATACATGGACACAGGAAGGGGAACATGACACTCTGGGGACTGTTGCGGGGTGGGGGGAGGGGGGAGGGATAGCATTGGGAGATATACTTAATGCTAGATGACGAGTTAGTGGGTGCAGCACACCAGCATGTCACATGTATACATATGTAACTAACCTGCACATTGCGCACATGTACCCTAAAACTTAAAGTATAATAATAATAAATTTAAAAAAAAAGGCATTGAAAGACAATTCTCCATGGGTCTTACTTTTCTGCCTTTTCTGCCCAGCTTTGAGCAGGGGTTCTGAATTACTCTGTTTTCTTCTTTTCTTTTCAAGGCCCATGGTATAGCAAACAGCCTTGGAAGATAGAGATAGTGTCTTCTTCCAGAGCACTGGGAAAATGTGTTAACTACTCAGGATAGTAAAAACAATGTCTTCCTCTGGGGCAAAAGTCAGGCAGACTTACTACTGATTATGAAAGATTTCATTTTCAAAGTTTAGGGTTCCTTTCTTATAAAGTAAACCACTGCCAGTACAGATGTCTCCTGCTCCTTTCATTGTGTCCTGTGAGATTTGAGCCTCAGGTAACTGGAACAAATGCTGATATTCTGGCTCCCACTATTGCGTTGACTAATACGGTCCGTTGTTGCTCTGACCCAGGAATCTCGTATCTGTTTCCATTCATGGAACTATGACATGTGAAATCATTATCTCACAAGTAGATAAAATCTCAGACCCTTCATGTTCTTGACAGTAGGAACTAGGGTTCCTAAATGACGTAATGATGTAGAGCTTCCTACATCCTTGCACTACCTTCCCATGTTGGAATTTTTATAAAATGAAGAGATAAATTTGTAACTTGTTGAGGCACTGGAGAGCAGCTTAGCCTGTACCTTAATACTCCTCTGCTAATTCTTAAACATCCTTCAGTTTCCAAGTTAGAGGTCATTACCTACAAGAAGTTTCCTGTGATGTAGTCCAACCACCCCCCAACAACACACACACACTATCCATCCAAATTCTGTGATAGCCCCCACTGCAATGTTTCCGTTGCATTTTATGTATATCCCTATCAAAACAAGTACATTTTCTGAATCATTGTCTGTACTCTTTGTTCATCTGTAAGTTCTTGAGAGCAAGGATCTTTTCTTCCCCTATCTTCAAACCTATTACAGTGACTGCCATGTGACTAGACTCAAAAGCATTTGTTGATGCAGATGATCAAGCGCATTTCACTTCCTGTGCTTCTTTACTACTCATCCCATGGTGTGCTTGGCAGTCAGATGAGTGAAGGCAACATCATTTATTCAGTCAGAACTCCACTTGTGGTATTCCCCCAAAGCCTTCCAAGCTCTAATCTACATGTCAAAAGGAGGCTCACTTTAAGGATGTACATGTTTAAATTTAGGGGTGCACATATTCTAGACCACACATAGCATTTAATGCAGTGGAACAGGATATACATTTAAAGGATGTATATACCTGACTTCTAGAGTCAGGTCCAGCATTTAAAAAATTTTACCCGGTGAACTTTGTATTCATTTACCACAGGACAATACTTCCTCCTGTGTTAAAATTAGGGTACCAGAAAGTTCCAATAATTCAGGTGTTATAACTTTGAGAAATATTTTCTAATATAGCCAAAGGACAAATGACCCATAATGGGACTACTTGTCTTGTTTGTGAGGGACAAACTGTTTACTCTTTGGCCAGGTTATCTGGCGTTTGTGCATACTTCAAATATTGTTCCACTCCACATTTTCACTACTCTCTACAATGGAGTTCCAACCGAACACCTACTTATAAGCCCTCCTCTGTTTTTGGAAACAGCCCCACCGCACATGTTGAAGCTGTAATTTGCTCATGCATATGGTTTCTCTTCCTTTTCCCCATAACCATGCCTGGGTGTTTATCCTCTGAGGATTCACGTCAAGGTTGCATGAGATAAAGGCTTGATCAGTACTGAGAGCACTTAGGTAAAGCAGAGATTTTGTTATAAGGGCAGACTGTCCTAGTCTGGAAGTTTAGGCATGCTCTACAGTCTGTAAACTTTCTTGGACCAACTGGGCCATCCCCTGTAGTTCAGATTAAGCATATCACTACCCATATGGAGCATTTCTGGTTCTGAATGTTCTCATGGTTCCCATCATGGCTATCTTTCTTGGTATCTGTCTTCAACTGTGGGGTGGCATGAACCCCTTGATAGGTCCCAGAAAGGGTCAACAAGACCAGCCTGTTTCTGGCCTCAGGATGTCCTGAGGCTGCTGGTACATTTCCTTTGGATGTCAATTACTGGCTGTTTATTGGACATTCATTTGAAACAGAACAATTAATAGACGGATACCAAAACCTTCTGAAACCCAAGATGAATATATATTGAATGTATGAATACTTTTTAGTTGGATCTTATCTGACTTGATGATTCATAAGGCAGAAAGAGTAAAGGTTATAGGAAAGTAGTATATCAGGGTCTGGGCAAATCCAGGGGTAGAAATGGACCTGATCACAAATAGACAATACCAAGCATAATAATATATAATTGTTGGCTGAAAGAAAGTGTTGTGATGTTGAAGAAGCATGTGGTGTCTTGGCTGGAGTTTATGAAAACCAGGAGTATCATCCTTGGACCCAAAAGGTAGAGATTAATGGGGACTAACAGATTATCTGAATCTGTAGCAAACAGAAATCAAACTTTCTTAACACATAGCATATAAAAAAATAATATAAGATGGTGAGGCAAGGTGCTTTGAAATTAAATGATCCCCTAAACAAGACAAATATGCTACACAAACTTACAACCTGTTTAAACTTGTTGGAAGAGTTCTCTGCACTGCTAAAGTTGACATACCCATGCTTGGTGGCACAAAATGCTTGTTCTTGTGGGCTAATTGACATTTACGAGCTTTACGCTTTGGCCAAGTCAGTTGGCTCCCACAGCCTTTACTTCGCTGTTTCTTGGAAAATGGCTGAACTCCAAAAGTCTTCTGTGATTTATGGACTACTGAGTTCATCTGATACTAGTCAATAAGAAATAAGGTGTGGAATGTGCTGATGCCCGTGGACTAATCTGGCTCTTCTGTCCAAGGTTTCTTGGATATTTACCACATTACATTTCTTTCTTCAACTGGAATGGACAATATACTGTCACTGAAAGAACGTGGTAACACAAAATTAGAACCATCTCATTTCCAAGAAATGTATGTTTTGTTATGACATGGGTGGGGTCAGTGGAAATAGGAGATAGTCTGAAGTCTTTCTATCTTGTTCTGTGTCAAGAGGATTTTTACACAATTGCATTTGAATAATTTTTACACAATTGCACTTGAATAATTTGCTGTAATGCTACTTTTTTGTCTGAAGAGTTATCCCTTCCTGCTAACTTTTTTTGGCTTCATTTCTACTTTTGCAGGAGCAGGTTTAGCTGACAACCTCACTGATCTCCTCTTGGGCTCTTCCTTCACCACCCCTTGTGCTGAGCTGACCTTCCTTTTGGGCAGGGAAGCAAAGGGTAAACAGGCCAAAGTGGCTAGCCAAGAAACTAAAGAAGATTTACCTGCACAAAATGGAGAAACTAAAACTGAAGAATGTCCAGCCTCTGATGAAGCCAGAGAGAAAGAAGCCAATTCTGATTAATATCATATACCCCACCTTATCAGTGGTCCCTGTCTCCCTTGTACAATCCAGAGTACTATTTCTATCAACTATTTTATAAATGCAAGTTTCTTTAGTAGCTCAGGAAACTTTTTTTGAGAAAGAGGAAGTCCCACCTTATCTCATTTTTTTTTTTAGTGTAAATTCTTTTTTAAGGGGTAAAAACATTAGCTGGTTGATTATTTTTGGTACAATCAGAAAATAGTGTGGGATATTGAATTATGGGAGGCTTTGACTGTATTGGGTGTCAGCTTAACATTCCATAAATAGGCAGTTAGTTCTTATATCCTCTAATACTAAACATACTAAATGGCAATATGGAGTCACACTCCTGCATTTAATGTCTTGAGCATTTTGAATCACTTCTATTTTCTTGTTGTTTTTTAGATTTGTTTCCTAAAGAAAACTGCTCCTTGATCATGGCTCTCCCTGTCAGAATTGTGTGCACTCTTGTTATATCTTTGGCTGTGGTAGTCCCATTTTCCTAACAACTTTGTTAATGTAGTGTTTAAGATTGAAAATTTGAGTATGTAGTATATATGTTATTAAATTATTAATTGGTGGGATGTATGAAACAGCTTATCAACATTTGAAGATACTGGTACTTGATAGCCTCTTAAGGAAAATTTACCTCCAAATTTTAAGCTAGAAAGCCCCTGGAATGACTGTGTAAAGAAATTACAATTCATGGCCTTTCAGATTTTTGGTATGTATGCTAAGAATTGTGTACAAATTGAAATGTCTATGTACTGATCCTCAACACAACCAATAACATCTCAATTATAAAGTAAAGAAAGAAACCCAAATGTCGGAGCTTCAAGGGAGAAGAGAATGTTGTAATTGACCATTATCTCAATCATCATAGTTATAGAAGGAAAAGAAAAGTCATCTCATTCTCAGGAAGCCTGGGACCAGGTTATGTTCATAGATCTTGATCATGGACAAATATATTTTTATACTCCTCTTCTGACATTGTGAGAAAATGGCAAGACTATTTACATAATTTTGACTTTTGAAACAATTTAAGAAAAGAAATACCACCCTCTAAGTAATAGAATCCATTGATAGCAAAGTATCTACTAATTCACTTAATATTATTTCAGAAATAAAATAAAGGAGTTTTTTTTTTGGGGGGGGGATGCCCTTTTGATAGGTATTTGTCTCTTAGAGCTTTGTACTTTTTATTAACTATCTTATAAAACGATTATTTTGGGCTTGGCAAAAATGCAGTCTCCCTTGATCAGAAACCCAAATTCCTTTTAAAACTATATGCTCTCACAGCATAAACATTTCTTAAACACCTACTGTATTCTGGGAATTGTTTTAGATATTTGGTTTGGGTGAGGGGTGGGTGTGAAATACAAAGAAAACGAAGACAAAGTTCTTTCCAAAATTATAGAAATATGCTATGATAAGGGTTAAGGTAGAGATATTTTAAAGTGCTATGGAAACAGGTAACAGAGTATTCATCTGCTGTTGTGGGGGGAGTTGGGGGATTTAGAAAATGTTCCCTAATGGGGTAACTTCTGAACTCATCCTCAAATAATGAGAAATAGTTAATGAGGGGTAACAAGCATGGGAGGACTGGAGTATACCGCTCTGGATGTAAAAATCTGTGATATCTTTTGAGAAAAGCAGGTAGTGTGCTATGGCTGGAATCAAGAGTAAGTAGTAGGAAATGGTAGACAGGATCAGAAGGAAGACCCAGGGCAAGAACTTTGGGCCTCAAAGGCCAAGGATTGCAAATTCAAATGTTACAGGGCAAAGTTTAGCAAACTACATCCTGTGAGCCAAACTAGCCCTCAACCTGTTTTTGTAAATAAAGTTTTAGTGGAACATAGCCAAGCTCATTTGTTTATGTATTATTAAGGATGCTGGGGAGAATGGAACCAAGTAGGAAAACACTCTGCAGAATATTATCCAGGAGAACTTCTCCAATCTAGCAAGGCAGGCCAACATTCAGATTCAGGAAATACAGAGAATGCCACAAAGATACCCCTCGAGAAGACCAACTCCAAGACACGTAATTGTCAGATTCACCAAAGTTGAAATGAAGGAAAAAATGTTAAGGGCAGCCAGAGAGAAAGGTCGGGTTACCCTCAAAGGGAAGCCCATCAGACTAACAGCTGATCTCTCAGCAGAAACTCTACAAGCCAGAAGAGAGTGGGGGCCAATATTCGACATTCTTAAAGAATTTTCAACCCAGAATTTCATATCCAGCCAAACTAAGCTTCATAAGTGAAGGAGAAATAAAATACTTTACAGACAAGCAAATGCTGAGAGATTTTGTCACCACCAGGCCTGCCCTAAAAGAGCTCCTGAAGGAAGCACTCAACATGGAAAGGAACAACCAGTACCAGCCACAGCAAAAACATGCCAAATTGTAAAGACCATCGAGGCTAGGAAGAAACTGCATCAACTAACGAGCAAAATAATCAGCTAACATCATAATGACAGGACCAAATTCACACATAACAATATTAACCTTAAATGTAAATGGGCTAAATGCTCCAATTAAAAGACACAGACTGGCAAATTGGATAAAGAGTCAAGACCCATCAGTGTGCTGTATTCAGGAAACCCATCTCACGTGCAGAGACACACATAGGCTCCAAATAAAAGGATGGAGGAAGATCTACCAAGCAAATGGAAAACAAAAAAAGGCAGGGGTTGCAATCCTAGTCTCTGATAAAACAGACTTTAAACCAACAAAGATCAAAACAGATAAAGAATGTCATTACATAGTGGTAAAGGGATCAATTTAACAAGAAGAGCTAACTATCGTAAATATATATGCACCCAATACAGGAGCACCCAGATTCATAAAGCAAGTCCTTAGAGACCTACGAAGAGACTTAGACTCCCACACAGTAAAAGTGGGAGACTTTAACACCCCACTGTCAACATTAGACAGATCAACGAGACAGAAAGTTAACAAGGATATCCAGGAATTGAACTCAGCTCTGCACCAAGCAGACCTAATAGACATCTACAGAACTCTCCACTCCAAATCAACAGAATATACATTCTTCTCAGCACCACACCACACTTGTTCCAAAATTGACCACATACTTGGAAGTAAAGCACTCCTCAGCAAATGTAAAAGAACAGAAATTATAACAAACTATCTCTCAGGCCACAGTGCAATCAAACCAGAACTCAGGATTAAGAAACTCACTCAAAACCGCTCACTCTACATGGAAACTGAACAACCTGCTCCTGAATGACTACTGGGTACATAGCGAAATGAAGGCAGAAATAAAGATGTTCTTTGAAACCAACGAGAACAAAGACACAACATACCAGAATCTCTGGGACGCATTCAAAGCAGTGTGTAGAGGGAAATTTATAGCACTAAATGCCCACAAGAGAAAGCAGGAAAGATCTAAAATTGACACCATGACATCACAATTAAAAGAACTAGAGAAGCAAGAGCAAACACATTCAAAAGCTAGCAGAAGGCAGGAAATAACTAAGACCAGAGCAGAACTGAAGGAAATAGAGACACAAAAAACACTTCAAAAAATCAACGAATCCAGAAGCTGGTTTTTGTGAAAAGATCAACAAAATTGATAGACCTCTAGCAAGACTAATAAAGAAGAAAAGAGAGAAGAATCAAATAGACACAATAAAAAATGATAAAAGGGATATCACCACCGATCCCACAGAAATACAAACTACCATAAGAGAATACTATAAACACCTCTACGCAAATAAACTAAAAATCTAGAAGAAATGGATAAAGTCCTCAACACATACACCCTCCTAAGACTAAACCAAGAAGAAGCTGAATCTCTGAATAGACCAATAACAGGCTCTGAAATTGAGGCAATAATTAATAGCTTACCAACCAAAAAAAGTCCAGGACCAGACGGATTCACAGACAAATTCTACCAGAGGTACAAAGAGGAGCTGGTACCATTCCTTCTGAAACTATTCCAATCAATAGAAAAAGAGGGAATCCTCCCTAACTCATTTTATGAGGCCAGCATCATCCTGATACCAAAGCCTGGCAGAGACACAACAAAAAAAGAGAATTTTAGGCCAATATCCCTGATGAACATTGATGCAAAAATCCTCAATAAAATACTGGCAAACTGAATCCAGCAGCACATCAAAAAGCTTATCCACCATGATCAAGTGGGCTTCATCCCTAGGATGCAAGGCTGGTTCAACATATGCAAATCAATAAACATAATCCAGCATGTAAACAGAACCAACGACAAAAACCATGTGATTATCTCAATAGATGCAGAAAAGGCCTCTGGCAAAATTCAACAACCCTTCATGCTAAAAACTCTCAATAAACTAGGTATTGATAGGACGTATCTCAAAATAATAAGAGCTATATATGACAAACCCACAGACAATATCATACTGAATGGGCAAAAACTGGAAGCATTCCCTTTGAAACCTGGCACAAGACAGGGATGCCCTCTCTCACCACTCCTATTCAACATAGTGTTGGAAGTTCTGGCCAGGGTAATCAGGCAGGAGAAGGAAATAAAGGGTGTTCAATTAGGAAAAGAGGAAGTCAAATTGTCCCTGTTTGCAGATGACATGATTGTATATCTAGAAAACCCCATCGTCTCACCCCAAAATCTCCTTAAACTGATAGGCAACTTCAGCAAGGTCTCAGGATACAAAATCAATGTGCAAAAATCACAAGCATTCTTATACACCAATAAGAGACAAACAGAGAGCCAAATCATGAGTGAACTCCCATTCACAATTGCTTCAAAGAGAATAAAATACCTAGGAATCCAACTTACAAGGGATGTGAAGGACCTCTTCAAGGAGAACTACAAACCACTGCTCAAGGAAATAAAAGAGGATACAAACAAATGGAAGAACATTCCATGCTCATGGGTAGGAAGAATCAATATCATGAAAATGGCCATACTGCCCAAGGTAATTTATAGATTCAATGCCATCCCCATCAAGCTACCAATGACTTTCTTCACAGAATTGGATAAAACTACTTTAAAGTTCATATGGAACCAAAAGAGAGCCCACAATTCCAAGTCAATCCTAAGCCAAAAGAACAAAGCTGGAGGCATCACACTACCTGACTTCAAACTATACTACAAGGCTACAGTAACCAAAACAGTATGGTACTGGTACCAAAACAGAGATATAGATCAATGGAACAGAACAGAGCCCTCAGAAATAATGCTGCTTATCTACAACTATCTGATCTTTGACAAACCTGACAAAAACAAGAAATGGGGAAAGGATTCCCTATTTAATAAATGGTGCTGGGAAAACTGGCTAGCCATATGTAGAAAGCTGAAACTGGATCCCTTCCTTACATCTTATGCAAAAATCAATTCAAGATGGATTAAAGACTTAAATGTTCGACCTAAAACCATAAAAACCCTAGAAGAAAACCTAGGCAATACCATTCAGGACATAGGCATGGGCAAGGACTTCATGTCTAAAACACGAAAAGCAATGGCAACAAAAGCCAAAATTGACAAATGGAATCTCATTAAACTAAAGAGCTTCTTCACAGCAAAAGAAACTACCATCAGAGTGAACAGGCAACCTACAGAATGGGAGAACATTTTTGCAATCTACTCATCTGACAAAGGGCTAATATCCAGAATCTACAATGAACTCAAGCAAATTTACAAGAAAAAAACAAACAACCCCATCAAAAAGTGGGAGAAGGATATGAACAGACACTTCTCAAAAGAAGACATTTATGCAGCCAAAAGACACATGAAAAAATGCCCATCATCACTGACCATCAGAGAAATGCAAATCAAAACCACAATGAGATACCATCTCACACCAGTTAGAATGGCGATCATTAAAAGTCAGGAAACAACAGGTGCTGGAGAGGATGTGGAGAAATAGGAACACTTTTACACTGTTGGTGGGACTGTAAACTAGTTCAACCATTGTGAAAGTCAGTGTGGTGATTCCTCAGGGATCTAGAACTAGAAATACCATTTGACCCAGCCATCCCATTACTGGGTATATACCCAAAGGATTATAAACCATGCTGCTATAAAGACACATGCACACGTATGTTTATTGTGGCACTATTCACAATAACAAAGACTTGGAACCAACCCAAATGTCCAAAAATGATAGACTGGATTAAGAAAATGTGGCACACATACACCGTGGAATACTATGCAGCCATAAAAAATGATGAGTTCATGTCCTTTGTAGGGACATGGATGAAGCTGGAAACCATCATTCTCAGCAAACCATTGCAAGGACGAAAAACCAAACACCTCATGTTCTCACTCCTAGGTAGGAACTGAACAATGAGAACACATGGACACAGGAAGGGGAACATCACACACCGGGGCCTGTTGTGGGGTGGGGGGAGGGGGGAGGGATAGCATTAGGAGATATACCTAATGTAAATGACGAGTTAATGGGTGCAGCACACCAACATGGCACATGTATACATATGTAACAAACCTGCACGTTGTGCACATGTACCCTAAAACTTAAAGTGTATATAAAAAAAAAGAACAAAGGTATTAAAAAAAAAGAAGAAGAAATGATAAGAAAATGTGAGGCTGAGTCCAGGAGCTATAAAAAAGAAAAAAAAAGATGCTCTCTTAAGTCACTTTCTGTTGCTACGGCTGAGTATCACAGACTGGGTAGTTTATAAAGAATAGAGGTTATTTGGACATAGTATTGGAGGCTGGTAAATCCACAGTCAAGGGGCCACTTCTGATGAGAGCCTTCTTGCTATGTCATAACGTGGTGAGAGGGCAAGAGCGTGCCCTCTTCTTATAAAGCCACCAGTCCCAACATGCAGGCTCCACCCTGTGACTTTATTTAATCATAACTACCCTAATCTGCCACATCTACCATAATCATCACAAAGGCCCTACCTCCTAATACTATCAGCATGAATTTGGTGATTGTTTCCAACACATGAAATTTGCGGGATGCATTCACATTGTAGCAGATGCTTTAGCACTATAGCAGCTGTGTGGAGGATTTGTGACAGAGACTGTATGGCACAAAAAAACTAAAGGGTTTATTCACCGATTGTTCACAGGAAAACAACAACAACAACAAAATGCTTACCAACAGTTAGGACACGTCACTTGGATGAATGAATCAAGCTGAGTGGAAAGTGGATGTCCTTTGTATGGTCTATATGGTCAGGGAAATTTAGATCCATCCAGAGAAATTTGATCTAGAGTCTTTCAGAACACTATCCCATTGTCTCTCTCTCTTTGATTCCTTTCTCTCCATTGCATGCATGCAGTCCTGATGCTTTTCTGCTCTGATGTCTCACATGTCTGTCTTTTCCTCTCTGTCCCTGCCTCTAATATCTTCTGGATTCACTTGCCTTTGCCCGTATTGTTGAGACTGTGGTTCCTGGCTGGTCTCTCACTCCATGCAATTGGGTCCTTCCTGGGCACAGATGCCAGTTTTATCTTCCTATGCTGCTCTATGCAGCAGAAATATTATCTGATGCTTTTTTTTTGTTTCTTATGAAATCCATTCTAAATATTTTTGTAGGGTTTTCAAGGCTTCTCAAATCTGTAAAGCCTTGATCAACCCCAATTTTATTCCTCACTATACTGTAGGAAATAAAACCAAATAAAACTGAATCTGGACTGTTGTCTTATGCATCACTAAGTACATTATTTCTACATATCTGAATGAATTCAGATAATTTATTTTGCCTATAAAGTCCTCATTATCCACCCACAATTCAATTTCTACCCATCCTACAAAGCCTAGAACAAATCAATTTCTATTAGGAAGCATTAAAATTCTTATAGACACCATTGCTCTCTTTTCAGGTTCTACTTCCACAAAACTTGTTGTCTGCCATCCACAGTTTAGGCCTTCATGACACACCACCTTGCCTTAGTAGATGTTCCTTTGTATGAATTATTTTATCATCTTATGTCAGGTCTAAATTTCTTGAGATCAGAGCTCTGCTTCTGCCTTTGTAAAGCAGTTAGCTTAACACAATTATATTGTGTTAGGACTCAATACATACTTGTTGACTGGTGAGTTTAAACACTTTAGAAGTAAAAAAAAAATAGTGAGAACCATGATATAATGGGAATGAATGATGTAAAAATGAACAAGTGTGGTGGCTGAAGTCTCCTGAAGGATTTTAATGCTTCTACCATGAGAAGTTCCCAGAATGGCAGACCTGTAGTAGGAGTTCCAAAGGCAAGAGCTCCCTGGCCGTTCCCTTCACTGAATTCTAAAATCCCATATAAAGTCATATGCAAAGGCCTTAAATTCCCTGTCCAGAAAGAAAATTCAACTTCATATTGCTTGAGAAGTCACCTCAAAGGACAGGCCCCAGGCTTTAACAGATGTCTTCAATGACCCAAGCACAGGATAGGACATTCGCAGGAGTTCTTGGATCCCAGCAGAAGGCCATGTAAGGTGAGTCACATGGGGCTTGAGAAAAAACAGATGCTTGGGAAAGAATGAACAGGACACACTGAAAACACTGTACGGTCTAGACTAAATGCTTCAGTGGTCTCAAGATAAACAAAGTAGGCCAAGGGTGAAATGTGTGCGCTCAGTCAGCTTTCCCCATAAGAGTTCCAGCTCCTATCTTCAGGAAACAGCTAAGACGCATTTATGCTACCACAGGCAAACTTGGCATGCACTTTACTCACTTTCTTGCAGCCTGATTGGTATACTTAATTTTATAGGATGACACATTCACATCACAAGGATTTTCTCAGATTCCAGGGTTTGATCTTAGGACATATGGAAAGGAACACTCCACAGACATTTCCTTCCTGCAGAAAGTGCTAACTGAGGTGCCTTCCACTGCTGAGGAAGGATGGGTGTTATGTTGCTCTGCCCTAGCTATTTGCTTTCCTCAGATGTTACCTGGGGTGGAACAGTGTTGATTTGCAGCATGTTTACCAGGAATAGATTTGCAAATGCTAAGGAAGAACTAGCTGGCTCTAGGAGAAGCATGAGCTCAGAGCTTTGGATGCGATATGCAGATGGTGTCAGAGAATGTAATCATTCATGCAGACTTGACAAATCATCAGTACAAATATCTCATTTGACGGACTATGAAAACAATGCTCCAAAACTAGTGCTTGCGAAATCACCTGTCAATACTGCTCCCTGACCACCAAATTGTATGAATCCACCAAGACTCGGGTACTGTCAGAACAAGGGCTTTGTTCAGCTGGGCTCATCAATATTGTTCCCTTCCTATCAAATCATATGGATTCACCCAGTCTCTAGTACTGTTCAGAAAAGGGCCTTGTTCAGCTGGGTTCATCAACCTATGCATAAGATGTTGCCAGAACATTGTCTTAGACTTCCCAGGGAGCTTCCTGACTTGGCTTTGTTTCCAATCATCCTGTTTCTGACCCTCACTTTGATGCTTTGGATCCCGTTCCACTCAGCCCCATTAGCTAATCAACTTCTTGATTTATTATTTTTTAGAGCCTACTTAACTGGACTTTTAATTAACATTCTTCCTCCTGACTGTCCCAAGCAAGCCTCTGTTGGCATCCTTCCAGGATGCCTACCCCCCGACCACACACACACCACATACACATCTTCAGACTCTTGTCCAGGGCAGCTCTGATTGGAGACGAACTAACTTCACAGTCTCATCCGTATTATGACTTTGCCAGGGAAAGCTCTAATAAGCAGTTCTTTAGAAACAGGTGTGTAATCAAGTTGTATCAGACAGGCAGAGTCTTATTATTTAAAAGGTCCAAACTCTACATCAATAACTAGACTATTGCAATGTTTAATCTAATTATTTACTGGTCAAATTAATATTGAAACCACCAAAACCTTGAAGATCACAGGAAGCTGGTGTCAGAGAAGGCACCTACAATTTACTTCAGTAGGCAAATAAACTTTTGACTCTTTGAGAGAAATCCATCCTTGAGATCCAAAGCTTACAAGTGAAGTTCAAAATTCAGCTTGTCGTCTATTAACAGTGACAGCATACAGAAGTAATAAACATAAATGAAGAAATATAATTAACCTTATGTGTACAAAGTCTTTTGAGGGAAATTAGGAGAAAGTGTGGCCACATGAAGACAATGTAGGTAAATGTTGTGAGCACTAAAGCATGCCTTTTAGACTGTCAGGTTTTCAGGCAGCCTTATTCAAATACCTGAGTTTGTACTCCCCAAATAAGTTAAACTTTTCATGCCTCTGAGCCCTAATAGGGGAAGTTAAGGACTGTAAATAAGCAGTAATGTTTTTTCTTTGTTTTGCTTTGTGTTAATGTTTGTTTTGCCCAATATTGCCTCTGTGATGGTTCAGTCTGTCCAGTAGAAAAGAAAGCATCTTATAGTTTCCTCCCATTGAACTCATGGTTCTACTGCGCCTTCTGCCCAGAAAAAACTTCCCCTCTAACCTGTTTTGTTTTGTTTTTGTTTTTTCAAATCTAATGACCCTGTGAAGGACAGATCAAGTCCTACCTCTTCTTGAAGCCATCTATAACCATACCAGACAACCGTGTTTTGTTTTGTCTTTGAATTCTTACATTGCTCATTGTCCATCCCACTCTTCTGGCATTGCTTGATTATATAAAGCAAATGCCTAGGCTCATGAAAATTTACCTGAGGATACAGATTAGCAGAAAACTTCATCTAGTATTGTTCTCTATCAGAATGTAATTCCTTAGTCATTTACATTTAATATTTTAATAATATATTAGTTCTAGAATTAAAAATTACTTCATTTTAAGAGGATACTGGGACGATGCAGAGGGGGAAGCACAAGGATTCTATCTTCCCTTGTAGACAACAATTGAACTGGCAGACTCTGTCTGATGTAACTGTTTTGGAACTCTGGAGTCTATCGAAGACTTGAAATTTCCAGGGGAGGGCATGGATGAAAAACTGTAGTCAATTGCAGCTTTTAGCACATTGGCAGCTGTCCATCCCCCACCTCTTAGCCTCATGGCAAGAAGTTGTTTTGTGTTCCTGGAGCAGCATGTAAAGAGTTACCAGGAGCCAGGGTGGGCGTAAAAGGACCCTGTCCTACAAATATCAAGGATATTTCATCACTTATTGCTGCTTCTGATCACAGAGTGGTGAACAAAGAGGTGGAATTTAAAGGGCTGATGCCCTTCCCCCTCTTTATTTTTCTCTTTTTTTCCTTTTGGGAGCCAGACGTTAAAGAATAGGGCATCCAAAAATAACTGCATATATGGGAAAAATTAGCAAGTGACTTCACATGCCCAGAGAAAGGCTCAGAAAAGACATGAGAAGACCTTAAATTTACATCTCAGGCTGATCCTCAGCCCAGAGACAGCCTACAATTTTTAAAAAGCAGTAACAATAACTCAAACCTGGGAAAGAGAAAAACTGATTCTCAGAATTACCAGAATATTAGATTCAAATGTCCAGCTTTTAACAACAAAAAAAACTATAAAACACACAAAGAAACAGGAAACTATTGACCATTCAAAGAGCAACAAATAAGCAACAGAAGCTGCTCCTGAAAGAGAACTACTAGATAAAGACTTTAAAACAATTGTCTTGAAGATGAGCAAGGAACCAAAGGGAGATGTGGAGAAAGTCAAGAAATGAAGTATAAACAAAAGGGAAATATTAATAAACATATACAAAACCTAGAAAGAAACCAAAAAGAAAATTTGAAGCTGAGAAGTACACTAACTAAAATGCAAAATTTGGCAGAGGGATTCAAAGGCAGATTTGATCAGACAGAAGAAAGAAGCAGTAAACTTGAAGAGGACAATGGAAATTATCAAGCCTGAGGAACAGAAAGAAAAAAGATTGAAGAAAAGTGAAGAATCCTCAGGGATCTGTGGGACGCCATCAAACAGACCAACATATACATTGTGTGAGTTCCAGAGGGAGGAAAGAGAGAGAGAAGGGGGCAGAAAGAATATTTGAGGAAGCAATGGCTAATAACTTCCTGAATATGTTGATGTTAATATAAACATCCAAGAAGCTCAATGATGAACTCAAAGAAACTCACACCAAGACACACTATAAACAAACTTACAAAGGACAATGAGAGAGTTTTGAAAGTGACAGAGAAAGGTGGCTAGTCACAAAAAGGGGATCATGAATAAGATTTTCAGAAAATTTCTCATCAGAAACTCTGGAGGCTAGAAGATAGTGGGTCATATAGTCAAAGTGCTAAAAGAAAAAAAAAATCTCTCTGCTAAGAATCCTATTTCTGGCAAAACTGTTGTCCAAAAATGAGGGAAAAATTAAGACATTCCTAGACAAACTAAAGCTGAGAGAATTTATTACCACTAGACCTTCTCTGTAAAAAAAGAAAATGATCAAGGGAGTCCTGCAGGATAAAATAAAAGAACAATGGATGGTAATTCAAAGTCATGTGAAGAAATAAATATCTCAATGAAAGTAAATATGTGAGCAATTAGAAAAGCTAGTATTGTAACAACAGTTTGTAGTTCCACTTTTTTTTACACCATGATTAAAGAGACAAAGCCATTAAAATCAGTTTAAAAATGAGTATTATGGTAACTTCAGTTTCTAATTCCACATTTTGTTTTCTACACAATTTCAGAGACTAATACATTTTTAAAAAACTATTAGTTTATGTTTTGGGGCACACAGTGTATAAAGATGTAATTCTGTGACATCAGCAACTTAAAGAGGTGAGGACAGAGTTGTAAACAAGCAGAGTTTTTATACGTAACTGAAGTTAAAATGGTATAAATTCAAATTAAAGCATATTCACTTTAAGATGTTAAATGTAATCTCCATGGTATGGGAATTTAGACATGAGAAAAATTTAAACACTTCACTATAATATAATAATAAATAGTGAAATATAGAATAATAAAAATAAAATATAAAATAAAAAATAGTGAAATAATAGAAGTCTCTTCTTATCAGTAATCACTCTAAATGTAAATGTACTAAACTTTCCAATAAAAAGACAGCAGTATGGATGAAAACATGTGATCCAACTAAGTGCTGTCTATAAGAAACTCACTTTAGATCCAAAGATACAAATAAAGTGAAAGGATGGAAAATGATATTCTATGGAAATAGTAACAAAAAGAGAGCAGAAGTGGCTACACTAATATCAGACAAAATACACTTTCAATCAAAAAAGATTACAAAACACTGAGAAGGAAATTATATATTCACAAAAATATTAATGCAGTGAGAAGATATAATAATAAAAATTATTTATGCACCTAATAACTACCAAAGTATAGGAAGCAAAAACTGACATAATTGAAGGCAGAAACAGACTGTTCTACAATAATAACTGGAGACTTTATTATGCCACTCTAAATAATGACTAGAACAACCAGATAGAAGACGAGTAAGGAAACAGCAGACTTAACATAATAATAGATATATACAGAATATTTTACCCAACAAAAACAGCACACGTTTCTCCAATGCACATGGGACATTTTAGAGGATACACTGTATGTTTTACCACAGATTAAGTTTCATTAGGCTTTAAAAGGCAAGTATCATACAAAGCATCTTCTCTAACCACAATAGGTTAAAGTTAGAAATCAATAACACCAGTACAATTTTTTTAAGTTACAAATTTGTGGAAATTAAATGATGCAGTGTTGAAAAGCTAATGATCAAAGAAGAAAACAAATGGGAAATTGTGAAATTCTTAGAGAAAACTAAAAATAAAAACAGAACATACCAAAACTTACAGAATATAGTGCACAGTGAAGGTCATGCTAAAGGGGAAATTTATAGCTACAAATGTTTACATTAAAAGAACAAGAAAGATCTTAAATCAATAACCTAACCTTACAATAAGTAATAAACTAAAGAAGAATAAACTAAACCCAAAGCCAGCAGAAGGAAGAAAATAATTAAAAATTAAATCAGAGATAAGAGAATAGAAAAGCAACAGAAAAAATCAATGAAACCAAAAGTTGATTATTTGAACAGATCAATGAAATTGACAAACTTTAAGCTAGATTGACTAAGAGAGAAAGAGATGACTCAGTTTACTAAAAGCAGAAATAACATTGGGGACATTATTCCTGATTCTACAAAAGTAAAAAAGCTTAAAAGGAAGTACTATGAACAACTTTACACCGACAAATTAGATAACCTAGATGAAATGAACAAATTTCTAGGAACATAAAACCTACCAAGACCAAGTCATGAAGAAACAGAAAATCTAAATAGACCTATAGCTATTAAGGAGATTGAGTCAGTAACCAAAAATCTCCTGACAAACAAAATCACCAGATATTATGACTTCATGGGTGAATTCTACCAAACATTTAAATAACAGATACCACTACTTCTCTAATTTTTCCAAAAAATTGAAGAAGAGAGAACACTTCCTAGTTTGTTCTATGAATTCAGCATTACCCTGATAATGAAGACAAAGACACTAAGAGAAAAGAAAACTGAAGATCAATATTTCTTATGAACAAAAGGGATAAAGTTCTCCAACGCAAAAATTCTCAACATAATACTAGCAAACCACAATTAGCAGTATATTTAAAGAATTATACACCATGACCAAGCGGGATTTATTTCTAAAATGCAGGGATAGTTCAACATAGAAAAAAATGTTCAACATAATACATCATATTAACAGAATAAAATAAAAAATGAATGATCATTTCAATTGGTGCAGAAAAAAGCAGTCGAGGAAATTCAACATATTTTCATGGCAGAAATATGCAACAAACTGAAAATAGAATAAGACTACCTCAACATAATAAAATTCAGTAAAGAAAAACCCACAGCAAACATCATACTCAATGGTGAAAGACTGAAAGCTTTTCCTCTAAGATCAGGAACAAAATAAGGATGTTCAGTTTCACCATTTCTGTTTGATATAGCACTGGAAAACCCAGCAAAAGCAATTAGGCCAGAAAAAAAATAAAAATTATCCAAATGGGAAGGGAAGAAGTAAAATTTATCTCTGTTCACAGTGGATATCATGTTACTATATGTAGATAATGCTAAGGGTTCCACAAACAATTGTTAGAGCTAATACATGAGTTCAGCAAAGGAGCAGGATACAAATCAACACACAAAAATTAATTGGATTTTTTATACACTAACAATGAACTGAAAAAGAAACCATGAAAACAATCTCATTTACAACAAGACTAAAAAGAGTAAAATACTTACGAATTAACCAAAGAGCTGAAAGACTTAAACAATAAAATTACAAAATGTTGCTATAAGAAATTAAAGAAGACATAAATAAATGTAAACACATTCCATGTCCACTGATTGGAAGACTTAATATTGTTGAGATTTTTATACCACACAAAGTGATCTTCAGTGCAATCCCTATTAAATCCCAATAATACTTTTTGCAGAAATAGAATAATCTATCTTAAAATTCATATGGAGTATCAAGGGACCTTGAATAGCTATAACAGTCTCTAAAAAGAAGAACAAAGCTGGATGACTCACCCTTCCTAATTTTAAAACTTACTGCAAAGATAGAGTAATAAAAACAGTGCGGAACTGGCATAAAGAAAAACATATAGACCAATAAAATAGAATAGAAGGTCCAGAAAAACCCTCACATATACGGTCAAATGATTTTTGAAAGGGTGCCAAGGCCATTCAATGCAGAAAGGACAGTCTTTCGACAAAGGGAGCTGGGAAATTGGATATCCACATGCAAGAGAAAAGCTGGACCCTTACCTGACACTAGCTACAAATTTAACTCAAAGTAGAAAGGTGGTTACCAGAGGCTGAAAGCGAGGGGAGGAAATAGAAAACGGGGAGATGTTGATCAAAGGGTACAAAGTTTCAGTTAGACTGGAGGAATAAGTTTTAATGATTCATAATTGTACTGCCTGTTAATAATAATGTGTTATATATTCCAAAGTTGCCAAAATAATATAATTTTAATGTCCTCACCCCAAAGATAAGTTCATAAGGTGATAAATATGTCAGTTAGCTCCAGTGAATCTTTCTACAATGTATACGTAAATCAAAACATCACATTCTACCTAATTAATATACACAATAATTTGTCACTTAAAAATAAATTAATTTTTTTAGAAAGTTAAAAAGAATCCTCAAAATATGTCAAAGACCTAAATATAAGACCTAAACTATAACACACTTAGAAGAAAACATAGGGGGATAATGGCATGGCATTGGATTTGGCAATGATTTCTTAGATATTTTAGGTTGGTGCAAAAGTAATTGCGGTTTTTGCCATTAAAAGTAATGACAAAAACCTCAATTACTTTTTCACCAACCTAATAATACCAGAGACACAAACACAAAAGAGAAAATTAGACTTCATAAAAATTCTTTAAAAATGTGCATCAAAAGGTATCAGTAGAGTAAAAAGGTAACACACAGAATGGAGAAAAAAATCTGCAAATCATACATCCAGTATGGGATTAACAAATATATTGAGAACTCCTACAGCTCCAACAATATAAACAACCCCATTCAAAAATGGGCAAAGGATTTGAATAGACATTTCTCCAAAGAGGATATACAAACTACTAATGGGTACATGAAAAGATGCTCGACATCACCAATCATTAAGGAAATGCAATTCAAAATTACCATGAGATACCACCACACACCCTTTAGGGTGGCGACTACCAAAAACAAACTAACTTCAGAAAATAAGAAGTGTTTGGCAAAGATGTACAGAAATCGGAAGCTTTGTGCCCTGTTGATGGGAATGTAAAATATGCCAGCCATGATAGAAAACAGTGTAGTGGCTCGAAAATTAAAAATAGAATTACCATCTGATCCAGCAATTCTACTTCTGGGTATATACTCAAAAGAACTGAAAGCAGCTGCAGCAATTAAAAAGAATAAGTTCATGTCCTTTGCAGGGACATGGATGAAGCTGGAAACCATCATTCTCAGCAAACTAACACAGGAACAGAAAACCAAACACCGCATGTTCTCACTCATAAGCGGAAGTTGAACAATGAGAACACATGGACACAGAGAGGGGAACATCACACACTGAGGCCTGTTGGGGGGTATAGGGCAAGGAGAGAGAGAGCATTAGGACAAATACCTAATGCATGCAGGGCTTACAACCTAGTTGACGGGTTGATAGGCGCAGCAAACCACCATGGCACATGTAAACCTATGTAACGAACCTAGACGTCCTGCACATGTATCCCATAACTTTAAAAAAAAAAAAAAAAAGGAAAAGAAAAGAAAAAAAGAGGAAGAATTGAAAGCAGTATCTTGAAGAGACATTTTTTTACCTATGTTCCTAGCAATCTTATTCACAATAGTTAAAATGTGGAAGCAATCCAAGTGTCCATCAATGGTATGAATGGATAACCAAACAGTGGTATATACATACAATGAAATATTATTCAGCCTTAAAAAGCAAAGAAATTCTTACACATGCTACAACACAGATGAAACTTGAGGACACTATGCTAAGTGAAATAAGCCAGTCGCAAAAGACAAATACTGTATGATTCCACTTATATGAGCAACTTAGAACAGTCAAAATCATAGAGACAAAGTAGAAAAGTGGTTGTTAGGGAATGGGAATGTATCAATCCATTCTAACACTGCTATAAAGAACTACTTGAGACTGGTTAATTTACAAGGAAAAGAGGTTTAATTAACTCGCAGTTCTGCAGTTACAGAAGGCATGGCTGGGAAGGCCTCAGGAAACTTACGATCATGGTAGAAAGTGAAGGGCAAGCAAGGCATGTCTTCACATGACCAGCAGGAGAAAGAGCAAAGGCGGAAGTGCTACACACTTTTAACAACCAGATCTCGTAAGAACTCACTCACTATCACAAGAACAGCAAGAAGGAAATCCACCTTCGTGATCCGATCGCCTCCCACCAGGTCCCTCCCCCAGTACTGGGGATTACAATTCAACATGAGATTTGAGTGGGTACACACAGCCAAACCATATCAGGGAGAGAGGAGTATGGAGAGTTATTGCTAAATAAACACAGAGTTTCAGTTTTACATGATCAAAAGACTTATGGAGATAGATCATGGTGGTGGTTGCTCAACACAATGAATGCATTTAACACCATTGAACTGTACAGTGAGATTTCAAACTTTCTTCAGCTATGAGAAGATCTGGCAGCACTGGGCCCTCCTGATAGCAAATGAAAAAACACTCCCTTTAGATGGGGTCAGCACTCTCTGGACTGATGTAATGCTTATGTCATTTGTGTTTCCACAGCAGTGGAAAATCAGTGCCCATTGTCTTCCATCCTCTTTCATTCAGCTCACTTCATTCATTTTCCTTCTCTGTCTTCTCCCCGTAACCACTTGAATTTGCAAGGTTCCTCTGCACTAAATTGTTTTTAACCACTGTTTAATCTTGTTTTGCTTTATTCAAATTTAATCACATCTTAAAACATCCTCTTGTCTTCATTTTATTTATTTTTTATTTTTCTCTTATCTTAACTTTAGGTGTCAAAATCCATCTACTTAGCTCACTGGTTGCTGAGCATCTTCAGGACTTTAAATGGCAACTTCATTTCAAAAGCTCTTAACTGTTTCATTAAAATAATCTATCATGTTAACACTCTTAATTATTCAAATACTTCTAATTCACTGTTCTCTCTCTAACCTTTTTTTGAAGAGAATCTGACTTCTGATTAATATTGCCTCCTTTATTCAGTTTAGCTTAAGTTAGAAAAAGCAAGATGGTAACAGCACCCCTGCCCAGGTTCCTAAACATTGGAGAGCTGCTGATCTTTCAATTAAAACTAAGAGAAGTCTTCGGCAAGTTTGAGGGTCATGTTGGTGTTCCATATTATATAGTAAGTTGGCTCTAGGAAGCAAGAACTGATACCTCCATGTACCAGAAAATTGTCATGAACTTCTCCTTAAATGGGACCCAAGGAACTAACCTGGCACTCATGGAAAGCTAAACCTGGGAGACTAACTGTGCAGCTCAGCAAATTCTCTCCCTGATCCACACTGTAAATATGCAATCAAATCTCTTGACACTGTAAGCTAATGGAGATCAGCTAGTAGAAGGTCTTTGGAGGGCAATCAGGTGGTATTAAAAATATGCTAATGGCAGCTTGTGATCTAGCAGCAGGACCCCAGGATTTGGGGTTGGCATGGTAACTGCCAGCAGATAGTTCACACAGAACAGGAACAACGGAAAGAATTAGAATGAACTGCTTAAATGCAACTGTTAATGAAAAATGTGGAGCACAATCAGAAAGAATGTTTGGTGCCCTCAGTGGCAAAAACAAACAAACCAACAAAAACACATACATACAAAACACAAGACCAAAAAGTGAAGTGAATGCTTTCCATTTTGCTATGGCAATCAAAGGTCATAGGAGCCAGCCATTGGGAAGAATTTAGAATTTAACCTGATGGTTTTATAGAGGACCTGTGACTTTGTTGAAATACAAGTGTTTCATATGTGAATGACAGAAGTGTCATATGTGTATGTGTCTCCTCACCAAGGCTGAAAGAAAAGGTCTGACAGGGAACAGCTTTTAACAATCTACTCTATCAAAGGCAGTACAGATGGTTGTTTTTGCTTTTAGCTTAACTGAATGTCAAATGAAAAAAAAAAAAGGCTTCTTCTCATACATATATCCAACACATAGAAAGAGGTTGAATTGGGGCTTGCACTCAAGTGCACATACATTACTGGGCAAACGTAATGCATGCTTAAGGGTGCGTGCACCCGTGTGCATTCCTGTATTTTAGGTGTGCCCTCTACTTTTTCCCTTCTCTGCCTGAAGCTGGAAATTTCATAGCAACTCAGCCTCTGCCAGTATGGGCTTGAGACCACAAAGAACGAGATTCTTTCCTGTTTTCCCATTGCAAAGCCTAAATGCCATTGTAAATGATTTTTCCTGGCGGGATGTATTAATACAAAAAGACAGGCTAAGTTCACTGTACCCATTAGCCTTGCTAACCCTTGTGGCTGAGGGCAATGATACAGAGTCAAATAATGTGAAGGGAGCTGCTGGAAACAGGCAGCAGTTGGATGACTCCAGGAAAACAAAGGTAATATGTCTGCATCCAGCACAGAGGCTCTCACGTGCCAGAGATGGAAATGAAGCTGTGAAAACAGAAAGTAGGCATGCACATCTCTGGAGGCTAAGGAAAAAAGGAGACAGAGAGGCAGACAGACCATGAATTAAGTGAGCTTGGGAATGCAGAGAAGACAATGGGAAAACTAGTGAAAGCTCAAAGAACAATTTGTATGCAGAGGAGTAGGAGCACGGCAAAGAAGAAATTCAACTCCTTAAGGATCTGTGTTTCGATCCACACTGTCCTTAGCCTAGCCTGAAACCCCTGCTTGGGAAAAAGTTTTGTCGTTTGAAAAATGCCCTTTTAAAATGACTTAGGCATAATTTCCTTCTCTTAGTCACTTCCTTCCTTCGCTTTGATACAACAGTCGCTTAAAGAAAAACCAGGGGAGAAAAGGTGGTGGAAATGCGTACAATTGGAAACAATTGCTATTGTCCTAGACATGTTCAATCTAGCAGAGACTGACAGGTGCTCTGCTGCTCAGAGGATGCAGTTAGATATGCTGTCATAAAATTAACACCTGGGGAACTAAGGTTTTGTGGGAGCAGCATGAAACATATATAATTTGGGACTCTAAGAAAAACAATACAGAATTACAATATGAAATTGTGAGAACATTCTTAGAGAGTTGGAAAGAGCCTAGGGAAGTAAGGGCCTTATCAGTTAATATCCATTATTTATCACATGTTACCATGACAACACCTGCAGGGAGCGGGGAGCACCTTTCCAATAAGGGGCCTTTAGTCAAAGAAAAATACAGGTCCATTTGTTTTTTCAAGACACAGCCTGCTCTTAAAACACCCACAATGTTGTCTGCTCATTAGACTAAATTCTGCATCCTGTACTGCTAATAGCACTTCCTGAGGAAATGGGTGGGAATTCCAAGATAGTATCACTAAGAAACTAAGTGACTTTAATTTCTAAGGGACTTTAGTTTCTAGGCATATTTCTAAGGGATGCCTAAATGACTGTATTATTTCACCTAAAATAATATACAATCTCTTGGTCTTGCAGCAGATCTGATGTTGATGTGTATGGTGTGAAATGAAAGAAGACAAAAGGTTCACCTTGAATCTTTCTAGAGGCCAAAGACAGCAGCTCATTGCTTACTTGTTAAGTACGAACTTAATGAGTACTGTTACAAATAGTGGGAGGCTCCCACAGAATATGACTTAGGAGAAAATAGAGCACTGCTGCTATAAGAGGAGTCTTTTGTTTGTGAAATCACAAGAACACCTGTGATTCAGCTCCCCAGGAACTTCAGTGGGCCAGTGTCCATTACTTTCATCATCAGGGATGTTTTCGTGTTGGGGCCTCTCTCTGAAGGTCCTGGTTTACCCCGAGGGAGCTTAGTGAGTCAGGCGCACAGGATGTGAATGGATGAGCCAGGACTTTCTTCTACCAGGGCGCCCTCTTGTGGGGATCTTATTAATTATCTTGCAAGGAAAGGGACCTTATACCCGGTTGCCTTCACAAGGCACAATTGTGAAGATTCACTTGTCCTATAAAGCCTCAGTCATCAGGCTTCAAATAGATATGCTCTCTCCTCTCTTCTCACTGTGGTTGAACTGGTCTACTTCTCTGTTTTCTTGTGACCAAGGTATGGGCAGCAACATGCCGCATGAAGAGTGCCCTCCTTCTGGTAAGAAGGCACATCACCAGTGACTTGCCCTTGTCCTTCTGTAGCTGTGTGCTTCTAAGCACAGGTAACCTAAAGTTCTCTGTCAGGCAAAATGAGTGTCCTGAGCATACTGCTTGCACCCTACTTGGGCATTCTTCCAAATCTTCCTAAATGTGCAAGACCCAGGCTACCATGCAGTAGTAGCACGATCATAGGTCACTGTAACCTTCAACTCCTGGGCTCAAGCAGTCCTCCTGCCCTAGCCTCCTGAGTAGCCAGAACTGCAGGCACACACCACCATATCCAGCTAATTTTTTTGTAGAGACAAAGTCTTACTATGTAGCACAGGCTGGTCTCAAACTCTGGGCCTCAAGGAATCCTCCTGCCTCAGCCTCCCAAGGCGCTGAGATTACAAGTGTGAGCCACCATACCTGGCTTATGCTTCTTAATTTTCTCCAAATCTTAATCACCCTTTAAGTCTCAACCTGAAAGTCTGGGTACGGTTGCTCTCATCCTCCAAGCAAGAAGTTGATAGATCTCTTTGATGTTTTTTCAGTCTTCTTTTTTGTTTTTTTTGAGATGAAGTCTTGCTCTTGTCCCCTAGGCTGGAGTGCGATGGTGCTATCTCGGCTTACTGCAACCTCTGCCTCCCGGGTTCAAGCGATTCTTCTGCCTCAGCCCCCGAGTAGCTGGGATTATAGGCGCCTGCCACCATGCCTGGCTAGGTTTTGTATTTTTAGTAGAGACGGGGTTTTATCATGTTGGCCAGGCTGGTCTTGAACTCCTGACCTCAGGTGATCCACCCACCTCGGCCTCCCAAAGTACTGGGATTACAGGCGTGAGCCACCGCTCCCGGCCTCTCAGTCTTCTTTTTACTTATCAAAACCTCCCAACAGACCAGGCTTACCAAGGAGAGAAATTGTGTTTGTTTCTGACTATGTTGCTCCGGGTTATGATCCGAGTGCCGGCCTGTTATCTGTCACATAACAGGTGCTAAATAGGCATTGGATGACAAATGACCAGACTCCATTCACTCACATTGCACACGCTCTTCTTAACTGCTAATGCATACACATTTGGTGCAATTCCTTGGCAGTGCTGCACGGCTAACAACTTATTTACAGAGTAAACAACTACCCACACCTCCTGTGTGTCAAACACAGAACTCCCTGGAGTGGAAAAGCAATCGACAAAGAAGATAAAGAGAAGTAGGGTCATAACCAGGAAAAAATGGTGTCTACAATGCCAAAGGAGGAGAGAAATGATCAGATAAAGGTGGCAGATTGCCACCTGCTGAGAGGGCAAAATTCTTAAGGGATTTGCCACTTATGTGGCCATTGTTAGAAACACTATCATGAGCAATTTCAGTTAAGTGCTGAAAATGACTGGCTCTGTGGTCAGAGACATAAACAGTACTATTTTTAATCACTCTTCAAGGTTTCCATGAAGAGTAAGGAAGGAGTATTAGAGGCTGGCACTTTGTGTCCACTACAAGAATGGTCTCTAAGCAGGTGTTAGATTTTATTAAATTGCAATCTTCATGTGGCTCCAGTGACAGGCTCTGATTTGGATGGCCTTCCAGTTGTGACCAATGGAGCTTCACATCCCCCCAAATCACTGGGCCTCCTTTAAACACGTCTCATTTAGCCTCTTTGGCTTCTTATCAGGCTCAAGAAACAATCTAAGATTGCAAGCGAGTGCACTCTGGAGAAGGATAATTGCTGTGAATGACTAAAGAAGGCCTCTCAGCATTAGTGTTATCATGAGCTTGAAAACCTGCAAATCATATGATAATTATTCCTGAAGTTCCTTGGCAGCCCTTAAGTATAATTATCATGTAATCTGCAAGGCTCAGAATGTTTTCAAAACAAGCGTGCATGGAAAAGAAATGGAATGAGCCCCTCCTTTTTTATTAGCATATCCCTGCTCCCAGGTCAAGTGACCAAGGTACGGGCAGCAACATGCCGCATGAAGAGTGTCCTCCTTCTGGTAGGGAAGCACATCACCAGTGACTTGCCCTTGTCCTCCGATCATGACAGCCTTGTTTGCCTGCTGGCATTGAACAGTGATCTGTTCCATGGTGATCTGTGCCTTTGTGCTTTGTTTCCTTTCTGACACTGCAGGTGGGTACTGTATTTCCTAGGTGAGCCATTCAAGTGAGTCCTAAGGATTTTAAGATTAACCCACAGAAAATTAATTTTGTCAGGTGTGGTGCATGGGAGGCTTTTTGGTTAGCTTAGATTGCCAAGTAGAAAGGAGAAAACTCGATGACTCAATAAAGCCTGTTGATTCTGCTCCTTATCCAAGGTGAGGATGTCCCCTATCCTCCTGGAGAACACTGGTGATTACCTGCCTCCTCTGGAGCCAGCACTGCACTGGTGTGAAATGCAACTTGATTTAAGAAAAAAGCAGGCTGGGTAGGGTGGCTCACGCCTGTAATCCCCGCACTTTGGGAGGCTGAGGCGGGTGGATCACCTGAGGTCAGGAGTTCGAGACCAGCCTGACCAATATGGTGAAACCCCGTCTCTACTAAAACTACAAAAATTAACCGGGCATGGTGGTATGTGCTTGTAGTCCCAGCTACTCTGGAGGCTGAGACAGGAGAATCACTTGAACCCAGGAGGTGGAGGTTGCAGTGAGCTGAGATCACACCACTGCGCTCCAGCCTGGACAACAGAGTGAGACTCCATCTCGAAAAAGAAAAAAAGCACAGCAGTTTTACAGCTTAGGGTAGAAGACCAAGAAAATAAAATCATGTAGCTATTTGGGAAACATTAAATAAAAGGTGATTTTCAAATCTTAGCCGATCTCTAGCAGAGAGTGCTTATTTAGCTGCAGTAGTGATGAGCAGCCTTTCCCATGTTGGATGATGGATGGAATCATTGGATTGTGAAGGCCTACAGGATAAAAGCTGTACATTAGTCCTCTTGGTATCACAGGACCCAGGTTCTGACACACAGAGGGCCCTACACGTGACTAAATGAATATGATCCCTTCTCTGTACAAAAGTCTAGTGTTTTTCGAGAATTCCTAACTTGTAGCAATTTGAGGTAGTAGACAAGACAGTGAAATGGGAATAGGGTCTGTATGGAGGCTACAGCCACTGTCCCCATGAATTATCAAATGTGCTCCTGCTCCCACCCTTATCCCTCACCACGTCTGCAACTCTACAGCAACTAACTCTACCCCAGTTAGGGGAGGAAGACCTTTTTCTTCAAATATCTATTCCTCTGGCCAATTGACCAACCTGTCAGGACAGAGCAGGAAGACTCAGTATAAAACAGTGCTTATTCTCACATCTGACACAAAATAGCGAGTAAATTTTTTTTTTTTTTTGAGACGGAGTCTGTCTGTGTTGCCCAGGCTGGAGTGCAGTGGCACCATCTCAGCTCACTGCAAACTCCGCCTTCTGGATTCACACCATTCTCCTGCCTCAGCCTCCTGTGTAGCTGGGACCACAGGCACCCACCACTACGTCTGGCTAATTTTTTTTTTGTATTGTTAGTAGAGATGGGGTTTCACCATGTTAGCCAGGATGGTCTTGATCTTCTGACCTCGTGAACCGCCCGCCTCGGCCTCCCAAAGTGCTGGGATTACAGGCGTGAGCCACTGTGCCCGGCCGTGAGTGAATTTTTTAAAAATAAAATTGTGTGTTTTGGTTTATTTCATAAATATATTTAAAGAAAATTAAGGAAATATAGAAAAGTAGAAAACATTGAAAAAGCTACCCAGCATCATCACTCTAGCCTACCTTTGTTAACGTATTTATCGTATTTCCTTCTCATCTCTTTTCTAAGCAGTATTTGTTTTTGTTTTCCTGTTATTATGGGCATATAGTACATATAATTGCATCTTACTTTAACTTAAGTCATGATTGTTTCCCTGTAACATTATTGTACACTCTTAATAAATATTTTCCATAGCCAAAGGATGATAGAGTCATAATTTACGTACCCATTGCTCTATGGTGGCAACTCAAGATTATTTCAGTTTTCACCATTCACTAATAGTATTGCAAGAAATGTCCTTATGTATACAGCATTTTCTTTCTTTAAAATTATTTTCTTAGAGAAAAATATTATAACATAAGGTTAGGTGAAGAGTTCTTAGGACTGACACCAAGGTGCATCTGTAAAGACAAAAAATTGACAAATTGGACCTCATTACATCAAAAATCTTTTCTCTGCTTAATATGCTGCCAAGAGAATGAAGAAATAAGCTACAGACTTGAAGAATATATTCGCAAATCATCTATCTGACAAAGGCTACGTGCCCAAAATATATGAAGAACTATCAAGACTCATTGATAAGAAAACATACAATCCAATTAAAAAAGGGGCAAAGGACTTGAACAGGCATTTTACCAAAGAGGTTTTAAGGATGGCAAATAAATACATGAAAAGATGTTCAACATCATTGGCCATTAGATAAATTCAAATACAATTAAACATTACTACACACCTTTTGAAATTGCTAAAATTAAAAATGCCAACAATACCAATGCTGGTAAGGAATTAGAACTCTCACACATTCCTGGTAGAAAGGAAAACTGGTAAAGCCACTGGAAAACAGTTTCATAGTTTTCTATAAAGCTAAACACACCCTTGCCACTGATAGCAACCCCACTCCGGGGCATTTATCCTACAATGGGGAGAACTAATATTACACACACACGTGTAAGCCTGTACACATGTGTTCATAGTAGCATTATCTGTGGCCGCCAAAAACCTGAAATTACTCAGTGTCCTTCAATGAGCAAATGGATAAACGAACTATGGTTCGTTCACACAATGGAATACTACTAAGTAGTAAAAAGGAACACACTATACTAAACAACTTAGATAACTTTTAAAAGCATTCTGCTGGGTCAGAAAAGCCAGTCTCAAAGGGTTACATATGTTTCATTTATTTGACATTTTCAAAAGACAAGACTACAAGAATAGAAACCAGATCCGTGGTTGCCAGGGGCTATAAGTAGGGGATGTTACTCTGAAGGGATAGCTTGAGGGAGTTTCTTGGAAGACGGAAAAGTTCGGTATCCCAATGGTGGTGGTGGTTACATGAATCTATATGTATGTTAAATCTCATAGAATTCTACTTCAAAAGAAAAAAAGTGACTTTACTGTATGATCATTAAAACAAATTAAATTCAATTTTAAAAATAAAGATCTTTTTTTAAGTTGCATAAATGAAGCAAACAGCAGTGAAAGGATGAGAGTCCTATGGAGCTTCATTAGCTACTTAGCTCAACCTATGTGGAAACCAAGATGTGATGGGACTTGCCCAGGGTCATGGGCAAGCCTGAGATGAATGAGTAGGAAGAGTTACACCTTCCTGCTTCCGTGTTGTTTCCAGAAAATGCTTGAGTCTCTTCAGCTGAAAGATGTGGTGTGGAAAGTTACAGAATTATTTGCTTCTCATGAATCCAGTCTAGAGAGGATATGGTGGGGACAGGGAAGCAGAGGGGAATTTACATCATGGCACTTGGAAAATTAGCCCCATTCTGCAGAAAATCTTGTTTTAATCAGCCTGAAACTATGCATTCTCTTGACTAATGAGCAAACACAGTTAACTCTGCAGGGTTTCTGATCCCAGTGCTGTGTCAAAAGAAAAAGAAGTTCAGAAAGCCGCTCCTTGGTTGGCCCGTGAAAGCTTCCATAGATAGAGAAAAGACTAACAAATGATAACAAAGGTGTAAGACCTGAAAACCCCATAGAATTGTATAATCATTCCCCAAAATGAGGACTAAAGAAGCAATTCGATCTTTTACATCATTGAATTATCTATTAGTTATATGAAATATATGTCTTTAAATATAGATATTCTTAAGGCAAATTTATTTTTTATCCATTGATAACACTATTTCATGGTTGTTAAATGTTCTATTCAAGGCTGAAGAGAAGGTTTGATATATTTTTCTGTTTAGGATGACAACCAATCATAAAAGATATGCTGGAAAGTTTTAATTCAACTATCATGTATTTCTTAAATGTTGGTTGTATTATTCATTATTCCATTTATTTAATCTAGTTTTTTTTTTTTTTTTTTTTTTTTTTTTGGAGATGGAGTCTCGCTCTATTCCCCAGGCTGGAGTGCAGTGGAGCAGTCTCGGCTCACTGAAAGCTCTGCCTCCCAGGTTCATGCCATTCTCCTGCCTCAGCCTCCCGAGTAGCTGGGACTACAGGCGCCCTCCACCACGCCCGGCTAATTTTTTGTATTTTTACTAGAGATGGGGTTTCACCGTGTTAGCCAGGATGGTCTCGATCTCCTGACCTCGTGATCCGTCTGCCTCGGCCTCCCAGAGTGCTGGGATTACAGGTGTGAGCCACCGCGCCTGGCCTTTTTTCTCTAGTTTTTTTTTTATAGTCTCATAGTCATTGAAAACCTCAGGGTAATAAAGCAGCATAGATATGTTAATAAATAAGACAATTACAATTCTAAATAAATCAACCCAGAAATAAATTTGTAAATACATTACCAGCTTCTTGGATACTGCAATAATGGATCACATATATTGTCAAAATTGTAATTTTAATAAGAAAAATACATATCTAGCTTGGATTTGTGTCAAAAATTCTAAGACACTAACAATCTAAACATGTCTTAATAATCTTTGATATACCTTGAAATATTGAAAATACATTATATGTTTTTCAAATTTAGGGAGGGAGGAAGGCAGGAAGGAAGGAGGGAACAAGGGAGGGAACTCATTGGACATAAAATTCCTACAGCTAGTTTCAAGAATTTGGGTTGAGGTTTCAAGATGTCAAATTAGGGGAAAGGGAGAATAAAATAAAGCAGAAGGAAAGAATTCTCACTATTTAGACTATGTGGTTGTTGAGGAAAGGGGTGGGAAAACTGTTTGAAATTCTGAACTAAAATTCTAGGAGTATTTCCTTAGAACTAATGTTAGTTATGGTGAGCTTAGGTTAGTTCAGGTTTGTCTAACTTCAGGTTCATTGTTGGCTTATGAGGCCTGGAGGGGATGGCCTACAAACCCCAATACCATATGAGTGGTCTATAGTGAAATGTCTCTTGTGCCCAACTTCTTAGTTACAAACAATCCAACTGTTCTTAAGCTGATGACTTGTCTGCGTTCAAAGGGCAGAACTTCTTTGTTTGGAATACGTAGAAACACAGTGAATAACTTCATTTAATGGCCCTATCTATGTATGTCCTCTGTGTTCCTGCTCATCAGGCTATCTCTTCACAATCTTTTCCTATTTCTAAAAGTTAGAGTTTAGTTGGGATGTGGAAAAGTGGTGGCTTATGAATTTATGTTGAAAACCGAGAAAGGAACCATCCAAGTGAGTAGCTGTTCAGAAGGAAGATGTTCCATTTTATAGGCCCTTCCTGGCCATTTTGTGACACCAGAACAATCCTGGAATTTTCATTATGTCCTTTTGGAGTAAAAAGTTCTGTTTGGTAAAGTCTTCCACGGTCAAAAATAAAGGAGTTCATATGGCATACCTCTCAAGGATATTTGCATTTTAAGAGAAAGCAATCCAAAATCTAAAAGAAAAAAAAATCACTGAATGAGAAATTCTGTGTGACTTGTATAGATGTGATGTGTATATCATTCTATATAATATGTATACATATGTATTTTTACATTTACGTGAGAAACATTTCAGAGTGGAACGGCCTTCCTGGAGTCCATTAAATGGTACCACCGAGATCTTTCATAGGGCTGTCTTAAGGCTCAATAATGGCCAGAATTTCCTCTTGGGTTTTGGGTCCTGCTCCATTAATGTATTTCCTGGAGGGTTTGGGATGTCTCCTGGCTATCTAGCTCCTCTCATTCAATAACACCAATAATGTTAATGTCTTTCATGGGTGAGACCATGTTTTGTTAATCTCTGTGTTCCTGGCATCTGATACAAGACATGGTGCTGAGGAGATGCATCACACAAGATGCAGAGTGAATAAATGAATGAAAGCTCACCAAGACTGCACTGTAAGACCCACAGCAATGAGGATCTATATGTTTTGGTAGGCAGGAGTCTTACATTTACCACTACTTCTCTTTAATAAGTGTTTAAGATTACTTACAGTGGGTAAAAACCACATGCATATGTACAGTCCACTAAAGAAATAGGAAAAAATGGGAGAAGTCATTCAAGGAAAGCTTAATAAGGATGGCACTGCATTCATTCATTCAATCATGCTTTGATTTATATGCTTTGCAAAATTATCAATGCATAACAGCAGTTCTTCTTATACTCTGCCATGGAGAACATTGCGGTAGGATCCAAAGCAGAGTGGATGGGCATTTTTCTGGAGTTCACAAATCTAGTTGATATATGTAATGGCTGCCAAGTCAAGAGCCTGAGATGACATAATCAACAGGTACTGTATGTAGCAACATAAAAGAGCCTAACAGTGTTCTGTGTCTATCAATGACTTCAAAGTTTGTTCTTAGGACTTCAAGGAGTATTTTCCCTCTGCCCTTCTAATGTGATTTAGCTTTTTATTTCCTTTAAGTTTTAGAAAGGTCTGAAAATGATTTCGATTCCAGAGCAATGGCATGATATTAAGAACCTTAAACAGGAAAACAAGAGAAAGAGACAGACAGGCAGAGAGAGACTTTTTTTGGCTGGTACACGATATACTTTTGCAGAACTGTGCCAAACCCATTACTCATTGCCTTCACTGATCTGCTTAAAAGAGAAGTAGAATCATAACAGTTTTGTCCATTTTGCTCTTTACCACATATAAATGGAGCCAGAGAAAATCTCTAAGAGGAGGGATAGGAATTATTTTGTTTGCTTGCTACCTTGTGGTTATGCCTACATTACCTCAATATTTGATTTGCAGAAGTAACAGGAAAATGTGATAATTTCTCAATTGCAAAATCAATTCAGAGAAGTATTTCAGGAGAAGTAGTTAGCTTTGTTGTAGGAAAAGATGTTTTCCTACAAAGTTGGGGTTTGGTGTTGGAGGAAAACAATTGCAATTGAGTTGTACATATCTCAAACCTGACTGTAGTCTGACTTGTGTGTAGAGTCTACTTGAGTGAATGTCAAGTGGTAACTAGCAATAACTGTTCAATGAATGATTGCATCGTGTTTTTCACCCATAAAAACATGGACCATGCCTACAAATACTTAAGCATTTAATTAAGGATGAAGTTGATACTTCAGCTCAATAAAAAGAAGAATTTTCTCAAATTAATTTCACTCAAAAATGGAAGAGGAAAATTATTTTTTAAAAGAATGAATGATCTTGTAGAATATTTACTCTCCAATTCTGTATGCAAGCAGAGTCAGAAAAATTATTGATAAGGAATCTAGTAGAGGGCATAAATATACAACATTTAAGATTACTTACAACTCATTCAACTTACAGCATAATTCGATTGTTCTGTGGTAAATATGTTGCTTCATATTAAAGATTGTTCAAAGCATTAATCTCCTTTTTTCCTTTTTTAAACATCTTTTATTTTAGGTTCAGGGGTACAAGTGCAGGTTTCATATACAGGTCAACTCGTGTAACAGGGTTTTTTGGTACAGATTATCTCATCACCCAGGTACCAAGCCTGGTACCCAATAGTTATTTTTTTCTGCTCTTCTCTCTCCTCCCACTCTACACCCTCAGGTAGGTCCTAGTATCTGCTATTCTCCTCTTTGTGCCCATGTGTTCTCATCATTTAGCTTCTACTTAAAAGTGAGAACATGCGGTATTTGGTTTTCTGTTTCTGTGTTCGTTTGCTACGGATAATGATCTCTAGCTCCATCCATGTCCCTGCAAAGGACGTGACCTCGTTCTTTTTATGGCTGCATACCGCTCCATGGTGTATACGTGCCTCATTTTTTAAATCCAGTCTACCATTGATGGGCATTTAGATTGATTCCATGTCTTTGGTGTTGTGAATAGTGCTTCAATGAAGATACATGTGCATGTGTCTTTATGATAGAGTGATTTACATTCCTTTGGACATATACCCAGTAATGGGATTGCTGGATCAAATGGAAGTTCTGTTTTTGGCTCTTTGAGGAATCACCACACTGCTTTCCACAATGGTTGAACTAATTTACACTCCCAACAACAGTGTGTAAGCGTTCCCTTTTCTCTACAACCTCACCAGCTTCTGTTTTTGTTTATTTTTTGCCTTTTTAATAATAGCCATTCTGACTGGTATGAGATGATATCTCATTGTGGTTTCAAATTGCATTTTTCTTACCATCAGTGATGTTGCATTTTTATTCATATGCAAAGCATTAATCTCTTATCCACGTCGTTCTTTCTTCAATTTCTTCCTTTCTTCAATGAAAAGCATTGATAAAAATATTGGTGACCACTGATGTAATTGTGCTATACGAATACATCTTCTATCACTTCAAGCTAGGATATATATTTATACATATACTATATATATCCATGTATTCCTATATATAAAATGATTTTAAAAGATTCCCAGATCTCAGTTCTATAACTGATTTATTTACATATAAATTAATTTTATTTATCTATTATGAATGTTAAGTGCCAAGCAGTAACATCTGGTCAGTAAGATCAGCAAAACACCCTAACTGACTTCTTCTATTCTATTTACTACTGAAAGGGATTTTTTATTTGATGACTTTGTCTACAACTTGGCAAAGGACCTATATGCCATTGAAACTAATGACAACAGGCTGCTATAAGCCTCAAGTAGGAGTTCATATTTGTAATTTTTTTCCAAATTAACCTTTCTCTTAATGAAATAATAATATGATAAATGTATGTATAGAAATTTATAATTTCTAAAGCAACTCCACATACTTATTTGATATGGTACTTTTCATGCCTTTTTATAGCCCCACAACAATCCTGCTATTATTACCATTTTATAGATAAGCACATTTAGGCTCAGAATAGTCAAGTGACTTTTCCAAAGTTATCCAAATAGTAAGTGATTGAGTTGAGACTGAAAACCCAGTTTTCTGATTCTGGATGCCACATTCTTTTCCCAGTTTATTAATAATTGATAAATGTTCTTAGCAATTTCTTCAAAATGGTAATTGAGTTAATGAGGTTCTTTAATTGCTATTTGCATACTCTTCATTGTAAAATGTAGGAATATGATGAATGTAAATACTGTAGAAATAGGCCCTGTAGAAACAGATGGTTGGCATTAAAGAATTTGCTCAAAGTCCCTTTAGAAGTTACAATAATGACATACAACTTTTTAATAAACACAATTAGAGAGCATTTACATTTTTACAAGATCTGCTACTATGGAATGAGATTACAAATTAAACTGTGCTATAATTTCATATAGTAATATATCATGAATGTATCTACATGACTGACTAAAACAATTGTTCTGTTTTTAATATTGCTAATTAACCTTTCCTATCTTTGTTTACATTTTTCACATAGCAAAATATCTTTTTCTCAAATAAATTATTTTGCTAATTATCTTTTTAAAAATATCTGATTTCAGCGTCTGCTTTTAGACTATAAGCTTTTTGAGTACTGAAACTATATCTAGATTATATTTCTTCCTTGTGTCTCTAACACACATTTAGAAAGAGGAGTGCTTCAATAAATGTGTATCAAATTGAATCAAACGTTAAAACAGATGAGTTTCTACAAGATCCCACTTTATGATCTTTGATAATTTCCCTCAGGTATTTAAGTTTCTCAACAAAATGAGAACCGTTATTTTCAACATGGATGACCACCCCTTCTTTCCTGAAACCATCTCATCTCTTGCCTGGAAAACACTGCTCTCCTGGTTTCCAGCTCCCCATCTTGATTTGCCACTGTCTTGCCCCTTAGTGTTGGTGCCTCCCAGGATCCACTGTTCTACCTGTCTCTATTTCCTTCCCAGATTACCCCTGGGTATCTTTTACGCCATTCCCATCCACCACAACTTTTATAGAGACTCTTATCCTTTCACTTAAATGAACTGACCTCCCAATCCATTCTCCATGTTACAGCCTGAGTCCTCATTATAAAGTGAAAAGTGTGACCAGGTCCCTCTTGACTTAAATTATACTTCATTGGCTCACCCTTGACCTTGGGATAAAATCCAACTTCTCAGCAGAGCCTCGATGCATTCATGATCTGACCCTTCTCCCTCCTCTAGCTTCTTCCTTTGCCCCTGTTCTCTAGTGCGAGCCATATTAGCCTACTTTTATTTTTCCATGCACACTATCTTTCCTTATGCATTTAGACCATTGCAGGTATCTCATACTTTCAGGGCAGAAATGAAAGAAGGAGGTGGAGAAGACATACCCCATTCTAGCAGATTGGAAGAAACAGGACATTCAGAGACAGTATGTTAGTGGCAGTTTCCAAGAGGAGAGGAAAGTAGGCTGGGTCCTAGAAACCTGTTGTTAATAAGAAAATAAGAATGTAATTTGGAGGGTGGAACACCCCTGTGGGTTTCTTGAAAAGGAAAGACAAGGAAAATGTGTGGAGAAGAAAGAAGAAATGTTGTTACCCACAGTCAACTCGAGAGCTAAGAGAACCATGAAACTTTCTTGATCTGATTCTCATATTTCTCCAGTAGATATTTCACCTATTTTCTCTGACCTTTCCTCCCCTGATTATTCACAAAATGAATAATGGCTAGTATTTACTGAGAATGTAATATGCACCAACTGTTTTTCTTAAGTGCTTTATAGAATGTCTTATTTAATTGTCACATCAGCCTTAAGAGACAGGTGGTTTTATTCCCTTCTTACAGATGAGGACACTGATGAACATGAAAGTCAACTGACCTGAAATAACTTTCCAAGCTAGCACAGCTAAGAAGAGGAGTAATTTGCTCATGTATCTGTCTAGAATCAGGCTTAAAGAAAATTGACATCTCTTAGACAGCCTAGCTCTCTCATCTGTGGGTAAGGGCTTTGTTTTCAGGGAAGACTTTTTATTATAAAACAGTTCTTTTATGACTGATACTAAATATATTACATTTTGTCTCTTTTATTTAATGATTTCCATGTGCATGCATACCATGAAATTTCTCCTTGAGAAAAACTGGAGCAAGATGATTATCTTTGTTAGACTATTCTTTTTTTGTTTTCCTTTACAGCAGATATACAGATTGAGAAGTGGTTAACTGTAGCAGTTTGAGCTATCTTAACAGAATGTAATTTATTTAAAGCAAATTCAATCATGTTTCCATGGCCTTGAAGAGACATGACCTTTCTCATGAGGGAACTAGAAATACAATTCTTCGATGACATCATTCCAAACCTCTATGGATATAAACAAAAATCTTAAACTTGAAGGACATCCAAAGATATAAAACACCATGAACTAGCCTTAGTAAAGTATACTAATGGCAATGTTTCCCCAGCATCAGAGCCTAATGTCACACCTAATTAATAAGATGTCAGCTACAAAAGAGCAGGGTTTTTTAAAGCATCTAAATGTGTACTCTTATTTCTTTTTCTTATACAGAAGATATTTAGGAGGAAACATTTTAAAAACTAATATAAATAACAAACCTCTCACAAACAAGACTCCAATCACAGACTCAGACTTAAAAGTGCTAAAGAAACGTCTTATATATTCTTCCCTTGAGAGTCCATCTTATGTATTTTTATCATACAACTTATTTTCAACCTAGCAGACATATCAATCCCCATGTGAATAAATCAGATAACCATATTAAAAATACTCTGTAATTGAGAAAAACAAGGCAATGAAAAAATAAAGGGACTTGGGGGAGAGGTATTTGCAAAACAGTGGGTCATAAGAAAAATGTTTTATCTTGAAAAACCTACCCTCTTTGTACTTAGAAATTGTTCTTATGTTCTAGCAAGAACAAAATGAATTTAAATGCACTTTATCATTAGACATGTATATGATGCTATTTTCTTGTCATCTGGTGGTCTGGACATAACTGACTTTCTGAGAATTGGCCAATAAGAGTTTGAAGACACATATTAACTCTTTTATGTGAAGAGATTCATATAATAAACCATTGGTGCTGTGTACAAAACACTAGTCTAGTGACCAACAAGGATAACTGTCGGTCCACAATTGCTAAAATTAATCTCAGGAATAGAATAAAGCACTTGGCAGATATAAAATATCAACTACACTATACTCCATGTTTTGGGTGTGCTTGTGAGCCAACTGAAATTCAAGGTAATAGGCTGTGTCTAGTCAACAATACAATAGGAAAAGGATGTTGGCATGGTATTTTCAGCCATCTGGATGGCTAAATAAGATTACTGCTAAGAGCTAACTAAAATTGTCTGGTAGATGTAATCAAAACAGATACAATTCAGAATAACTCAGACCAAAAGAATATTTCCTCCTGTTAGAGTCATTTTAAGAGGAATTTGAAATCAATGCAAACCATGTCTTCAAGGTTTTCCTTCACCATGTGAAAACAAAGGCTCTGCCTGTATAGAAATAATGGTAGAACTATATAAAGGGCAGTTGGTTTTTCAGCTGATGAGCAATTGGGAGCTACTTTATTACTCAAACTACTTTTCCAGGAGCTACCATCAAAGCACTCATGAAGGTTCTTCTTTGTTCTTACCATCCATGGGTGTTACTAAAAGAGAAAGTAGAAAACTTACTGTCACAATGGTGAGAATTTGGCCAAAAATCACCCAGTCTTTGAACTGAGCTTAAACTAAGTAGTAGTACATAACATTAGAATTCTGGTCACTTAAATTAAGGACGTTTGTAAACTATTCAAATTAACAAAACAAAGCAAACAAACAGGAAAACAAGTTATATGTGATAGATGGATGGGGGAAAAGTGATAAAATTGGCCAGTTTCACGGAAAGGTCGAATAGTGAGAGTAGTCAAAATAGCCTGTATAAGTTACTAAGATTTAGTTTATTTTAACAAATATTTATTCTGCATTTTCAACCATGCAATCATCATTGAACTAAGTGATGAAAAAAGACATTGTCTCTTCCTTAAATGTCTTAAATATATAAATTGATACTTGCAGTTTAGTTCCATACATTGGAGTTGAATGTATGAACAAGAATCAGAGTTTCTGTAGATGTTGGAATACAATATTGGGTATAGGAGAAGGAAAGAGAATCAGAAAGTGGGCCACATTTTCTATGACTAAAGATGGAATTTACAAGATGGCTTTAATATTCCCTTCAGCTTGACTAAACTTTAGACATGTTTCTTTCTGATTCTAGGCCCTTGACCTCTCCTTCTTAGAACATTGACTTTAGAATATTTGTAAGTTATTTATCTGCCCCCTTTGAGATATAAATCTTTTAAAAAGCCCCTTGCCAATTGTACAACTCAGAACTGTCCTTCTCAAGGACCTTGGAGCCATTCCACTGAAATGTAATCATCAAGGAAACTGTGCCCTATCTTCCAGTCTCTGTGGGAGAATAAGAGCCTAACTTCCATGGAGACAATTAGTAAGCTCGGGTGAACTAATCACCAAGAAAACCATTTGCAAACTTAAATAACTCAATTTGCTAGACATATCCCATTGATAAATCTCCTTCAAACATCCTCCAGTATTTTTCTACTAGCTCACCTCAGCTCTTAAAATACCTCCTGAGTTCAGACTTCGTTCTGGTCTCACTCCCTATTGCAGTAGCCTTGAAGAAAGTCTTCCTTGCCTGTTTCACTTTGTGTGGTACAATTTTGCTTTGACAATAGAGAGTCAACAAATAGACAAACAGAGGGGACCTTTCCAAGCAGAAAGCACAGCATTGGTGAAGACCTGGAAACATCATATTTTACTATGTATTTGTGGAGATCTAGATCTAGACATATTTGCTACATCTGTGAGGCTACCATCCTGCCTGCCTACAGCAGCCTTGTGTGCATTTGTATCTGAAGATTTTTCACCTCTACTTCATTGGCAGTACCAGGATTCAGATCCTGCTTCTGAGAATCCCATCCATTGCCTTCTACTCTCTCCCTCCCAGTCTGGAAGACTCTTATTTAAGATCTACATTCTCACTCTTGTTGTACTGCATTTCCCTCTGTTCCCTGCATACAGTCTGTGAGGCAAGTAGCTCTGAGTACAAATCACCCTGCTACAGTCCTTCCCTGGGGTTAGAAAGTAGAGCTGGTTAACTGTCTTAATAGGGAATAAGAATAACGAAAAATTTAGGCAGAAAACATAAATTTTGTGGAAGATATTAACTTATCAGACCAAGTCCAGCCTGTCTCCAAAGCAGTTCTTAATGCCTGAGATTTATTTAGAGGTCTCATATCTGTGATCCCAAAGCCCCACTCCACTCAGCATAATGGGATCTCTGTTCTGGGGTACTCCTGACACTGAGTCTAAAGGTGCAGAATTTTCTTCAGTTTGTTTCTTCTTTAGATCTGTGATGAGAACTCTTCAATGTCCACTCACTCCTTCCCATCTTCTTGAAGAAAAAAATCCTAAGGCGTCTTGTAGTAGTATAGCTCTGCCATTCTATAGAGGGAAATTAGGCCCACAGAACTGTAGGAAAAAACCTAAATGCACGAAGTTTGTCAATTATACAGTCTGGATTAGATGGATTAGAATCCATAACTTTTTTCCTGAGACAAGATCTTGCTCTGTCACCCAGGTTAGAGTACAGTGGCACGATCATAGCTCCCTGTAGCTTCCAGGTCCTGTGCTCAAAAGATCCTCCCACCTCAGGCATGTGCCACCATGCCTGGCTAAGAACCCATAACTCCTTATTTGTTTAGTGCTTGACCTCTCTAAACTATACCCTGAGTATCCATGGGCAACTTGCATGATCATTTGAGGTTTCAGATTTTTTACCTGTAAAATGTGATAATGGTAGCCACTTCACAGGACTGTTGTGAAGAGAAACAAAGTGGGTGAGTACTTGGTGCAGTCTGACAGTTTGTGTTCTACAAAAGCTAGATCTCTTGCCAGTTTTCTTTTTGCCTTTCTCTATCATAGCATTCACCACACTGCACTGACATCATTTATTTATGTCTCTTTCTCAATTCATTGCAAGCTCCTTTGCGAAAAGAATTGGTATTTATTGGATAATCTATTCCTAATATTTCATTCAGTAGAGTTGCCTAGTAAATATTCTTTAAATAAATGAAATGTTAAAGTGCTTAAAAAGAGGTGTGAACATAGCCACCGACTTTATGGGCACCAAAACAGCTTAAAAATAACCCTCCCTCAGGAAAGGAGGAATGGGGAACTATTGTTTAATAACTAGCACACAGAGTTTCTATTTGGGATGATGAAAAAGTCCTGAAAATGGATAGTGGTGATGGTTGCACAACTTTGTACTAAATACCACTAAGTTGTACACTTAAAAATAGTTAAAACGGTGAATTTTATGTTTTATATAGTTTACCACATTTTTTAAAAAGCCTCTGAGAAGTTTCATTTATAGAGAACACTTTGTAGTATTATAGGAAGAAGAATAGAGTCCACGTTTAGACCAGTTGGAGACTTGGTCTCTATCTGGAAGTTACTTTCTCTTCTCTCCTCTAACAAAAGGGAGATGGAATGTGATTCTCTCTCCATCTCTACAGCTGTGCCAGGCAGAGGCAGCAGCAAGAGCTACAGAGACATTCTTCCTGCACATGCAAACAGAGTTATTCCTGAGCACGAAATGACTGGTGACAGCCATCTCCAGGAGAATATATCAGAAAACTTTAAATACAGTCACCAACCCTATAATTCAAACCCAAACGTTTAGGACCTGCAGATACAGAGACTAAAAATATTTTGTATTCGTAAATTAGAGCACTGACCCCATAGGCACTTAGGCCTTCTCTTAAACTTGCACAGGCTGCTGGATGAGTCTCTGACAACCTCCCCAGCAACCAGCCTTTCTTCTGCCTTCATCTTCCTGCTTCAGCCTGTGTCCCAATTGTGTTAGTCTATAGCATTCACTGTCCACCACCAACAGAACAGTTAGCCAGAGGGAGGCTGGAGTTATCTATTGTTAGGTAGCATTGGGGTGGAAAGACCAATATTCGCCGTATCCAGAGTGCACATGTCAGGTAAGCAGTACCTCTTACACAACACTACCTTTGCCAGGTTTCTTGTTGTCTGGGTGTGCAGGCAGGCTATGGAGGTCCTCAGAAACACTGCCTACCTCTTCTGACAAGCCCCTTGGGCTCTAAGAGGAAGAGTTGTGACTCCTAGTTCGCTTTCTCTCCTGTCTTTCTATTTGCTGAAGGAGAAAATATGACTTAAGCAATACTGAACGTTTGTTTAAAATACAAAAATTTCTTGGTGATTAAAAAATTATAGCTAGTGTTGGCCGGGCGCAATGGCTTACGCCTGTAATCCCAACACTTTAGATGGCCGAGGTGGGCAGATCACCTGAGGTCAGGAGTTCAAGACCAGCCTGGCCAATATGGTGAAACCCTGTTTCTACCAAAAATACAAAAATTTGCCAGGTGTGGTGGCACGTGCCTGTAATCCCAGCTACTCGGAAGGCTGAGACAGGAGAACTGCTTGGACCCGGGAGGCGGAGGTTGCAGTGAGCCTCGCACCGTTGCACTCCAGCCTGGGCAACAGAGTAAGACTCCATCTCCATAAAAAAAAAAAAAAAAAAAAAAAAAAAAATATATATATATATATATATATATATAGAAAGAGAGAGAGAGAGAGAGAGAGAGAGAGAGAGAGAGAGAGAGAGAGAGGGAGAGAGAGAGAGAGAGCGCGCTAGTGTTTTATAGCCACCTAGTGGCCGAAATTGGGCTTTGCAATTGGAAATTCAATTTTCACTCAAAACATTAGCTCTAAATTAATTTTGCTATTTAAATACTTTATTTGCCATCTAAATACTTCTTTAAGAGAGATAACGTATGGAAGCTTAGATTAACTAAGGGGATGAAACATGAGGAAGCCAAATTTCAGAATGCTTCCTAAAGAGCCTCTAAACTTCTGGGTTCTCCAAATGTACACATGACTGAGTCTTGGTTCTTAAGGTATGATGATAATGATAACAATAGGTATATTAGCATAGCTAACATCATTTGAGTGCCTAGTATGTACCAGGTAATATTCTGAATGCTTTTTGGTAGTATTTATTTAATCTCTGCAACAACTCTATGATATAAATTCTCTTATGCTCAATTCTTAAAAGAGAAATCTAAGACAGAAGTGAAACACTTTGTCCCAAGACCAACAGCTATTAACTAGTAAGATCAAGATATTCTTTTTCGGCCGGGCATGGTGGCTCACGCCTGTAATCCCAGTACTTTAGGAGGCCGAGGCAGGCGGATCACGAGGTCAGGAGATCGAGACCACGGTGAAACCCCGTCTCTACTAAAAATATAAAAAATTAGCCGGGCGTGGTGGTGGGCGCCTGTAGTCCCAGCTACTCGGGAGGCTGAGGCAGGAGAATGGCGTGAACCCGGGAGGCGGAGCTTTCAGTGAGCCAAGATCGCGCCACTGCACTCCAGCCTGGGCGACAGAGCAAGACTCCTTTTCAAAAAAAAAAAAAAAAGAAAAAGATTTTTTTTTCCTGTTTGATTAACTTTTATTTTAGGTTCGGGGGTACATGTGCAAGTCTGTTACATAGGTAAACTCGGGTCACAGGGGTTTGTTGTACAGATTATTTCATCAGCCAGGTACTATGCCCGGTATCCAATAGTTATTTTTTCTGTTCCTCTCCCTCCTCCCAACCTTCACCCTCAAGTAGGCCCCAGTGTCTGTTGTTCCTTTCTTTTTGTATCCATGGGTTTGTATCATTTAGCTTATAAGTAAGAACGTGTGGTATTTGGTTTTCTGTTCCTGCATTAGTTTGCTAAAGATAATGGTCTCCAGCTCCACCCATGTTCCCGCAAAGACATGATCTTGTTCTTTTCTATAAAGCCAAGATTTAAGATCCAACAATCCAGTTCTAGAATCTTAAGCCTCTTTAGCATAGGGTAAATATGTACATCAAGTACAATTACGGCAGTGGAATCAAATAGGCTCTCCTGCAATCTCAAACTTGCTTATACTTTAACTCATATATGGTTAGGTTTCAAACACGTGGGAGAGACAGAAGAACCCTAGGAATTTAGAGATGGAACTTGATAAAGGCATTTCTCAGAAGAATTTCAGACAGCAGGAACTTGACTTCAAAGGTTGGTGTGACGTGGGCAGACACAGAGGGGGAAGCACAGCCCAAGTACGAGCGGACGGCAGGATGGGTGGAGGCAGCAATGCAATGGAGTGAGGAGAGGAAGTGTGGGTGAGTCAGCAGAAGGATGTGATGAGGCGGAGAATGGGGGCACTCGCGTGGGGACAGAGGAAAGGCAGGAAGGTCAGATTGGGCCATGTTGTTCATGTACGATCTTCATGTCAGATGAAGAAGTTAGATCTTTAGCTCAACGGTTATATGGAACTATTGAGAGTTTAAAAATGATATTTATAGCCTTTATAATTTTTCAAAGCAAGTGTGCCCACTGTGAAATATTTGGAAACCAAGGAAGACACAAAGCTAAAAGACTATCTGTAACTCTCTCTTTGTTAATATTTGGAATATATCTTTCAGTCTTCATACCACACACATAAATTTTCCCCCAAAACAATATTTACTGTATTTTATATAATAATTATAGAGTATTTTAATGTTTCGGTTTTGTCATTTATTATAGTACATGTCTATTATAAATAAATAACAAAATAGAAGCAAAAACACTAAAAGCAAAACTAAAATTATAAAAATTCTAGGCTCTTACTATTATTTTTATTGTATATGTGTATGTGTATATATGCATCCTTTTGAAAAAATATAGATCCCGTTAAAAAATAGAATAATAATTTACCTACTGTTTAAGACCCTATACTCTTCTCTTAATATATCAGGAAAATCTCGATATGTTGACATGTGCATTTTTATAGCAAAATTTAATACCTGCATCCTATACAAAATAATTTATACGATCTCATATTTTTAAATTGCCTTTATGTCTTTGTTGAAAATCAGTTAATTATGTAAGTATAGGTCTATTGCTGGGCTATTTCATTGACCTATTTGTCTATCTTGATTGAATATCATAATTTTGATCAATGTAACTTTATACCAAGATGTGAAGACAGGAAGTAAAAGTTAGATAACTTAGTTCTTCTTTTTAAAAGTTGTTTTGGCTATTCTATGCCCTTTGCATTTCCACATGAATTTTAGAGTTAGCTGTCAACATCTACAGATGAGCCTGCTGAGATTTTAATTGGGATTTCATTATATCTGTAGATCAAATAGGGAGAATTGATATTTTAGTCATGTTTATCCAAACACATGCCATTTATCTCTATTTACTTAGACTTTAATTTCTCTCATTATGTTTGCTAGTTTGCAATATACAGGCCATGTTCATTTTTTTCATATTTATCCCTAATATGCATATTTAATGGCATGTTTTTATGCCAGTATAAATGGTATTATGTTAATTTTAATTATGTATGTATGTATGTACCTAGTATATAGAAACAGACTTGATTTTTTATATTGATCTTGCATCTCCCAACTTTGTTAAACTCACTTATTAGATGTAATACATATATATAAATTCCATAGGGTTTTCTAGGTAGATGATCGTTTCATCTGTGGATAAAGAAAATTTTATTTTCTTATGTCCAATCTGGATATCTCTTATTTCTTTTTCTTGACTGGCTGGACTGGCTAAAGCCTCCAGGACAATGTTGAATAGAAGGGAGAGAGTAGACATCCTTGCCTGTTTCCTCATATTAGGGGAAAACATTTCATCTTTCATCATTAATAAGACGCTAACAGTACAGTTTCGTAGATGCCCTTGATCAGGTTGGGGTTGTTCCTTTTATTCCTATTTTGCTGACTGTTTTTATTGGGATTAGATTTTGGGCATTTGTCAAATGCTTTTTCGTCATCTCTTTTTTTTTTTTCCCCAGTCTGTCAACATGGTGAATTACATTGATTGTTTTTCAAATGTTAAATTAACCTTGCATCCCTGAGATAAACCCGACTTGGTCATGATGTATTATCCTTTTAATAAATTGTTTATTATTTTATTTGTTATAATTTGGTAAGAATTGTTGTCTCTCCGTTCGTGAGGAATAACGTTCTGTAGTTTTCTTATAATATCTTTTTCTGGCTTTAATGTAATAATGCTGGCCTCGTGGAATGAGTTGGGAAGACTTCAATTTTCTGGAAGAGTTTGGGTTGCAAGGCTATTATTTCGTCCTTAAATGTTTCATAGAATTCACCAGTGAAGACATCTGAAAATGGAATTTTCGTGGAAAGTTTTAAAGCTCTAAATTTAATTTCATTCATTGATATAGTGCTCTTCAGGTTATCTATTTCTTCATGAATGAGCTTAGTAGAATAGTTTGTATCTTTTAAGGAACTTGAAATTCTTTTTTCTTAAGGTGGAAGCTGATGTCATTGACTTGAGACTTCTTCTTTTTTAATTTAGATATTTAGAGCAAAAATTTCCTTATGATTACTGCCTTAGTCGTAAACAATAGATTTTCATATGTCTTTTTTATTTTCATTCAGTTTTTAAAAATCTTAATTTTTTGTTTATTTCTTTTTTGACTCATGGGTTATTTAGCAGTGTGTAATTTTCTTTCTAAATATTTGAGTTTTGTCCAGATTACTTTACTGATTTCTAATTTAATTCTATTGTGGTCAGATAATATACTTTGAATGTCTTTTGTCAGGCTTCTTGATTGGAAATGGAAATTTAATCACGTATTTTTGGACTTGCAGTTTCTAATTTTTATGCTACTAAAAACAATTCTTAGATGAAGATGAACTTGGGTTCTTTTTACCCTTTCTTTTTTATTTTCTTAAAAGTCTCAGAAACAAAAGTTTTGAATCAAAGAGTATATAGTTCCTTCTCTAGAATTTATATATACTGTTACATGCCTTGTTTCATGTTTATATTCAATAATTTGCAAATATTTTCTTCAGATCAATATTTTTTCTATAACATATTCTTAACGACTGTATATAATTTTACTTTATTGATACCCCAAATTATATTAACAATACTCTATTGTTGGACATCTAAGCTCTTTCTAACTTGAGGCAAGTTTCCATAATGCTTTTAATAAACTACACTGTAGATCATTAGTCTGTGGGAGAGGATTGGCCTCACGGAAACAATGATTTAGGAAAATTAGTCAGGAACTACTATAGAAGACGGATTTGGGCTGAGAAGGACTGGAAGTAGCAAAATCTGTTCCATACCATTAGGATTGTAATATAATGCTTAAAAATGAGGCTGTGGTAGCAGCAGATGAATGGAGATGTCAGAATGGATGGAAGAAATAGTAAAATGGAAGAATCTATCACACTTAGCCACTGATTTTGGGAGAATTAAAATCAATTTCTATCTTTAAAGTAGTAGCATTTCTAGATAAAATTGAATCTTCACATTTATCTTTAAAATACCTATTTTCTCAGCATTTGTGCTTATTTGTCAAGCAGTAATGTTTTCTAATTACTCAAAAGAGGTTTCATCACAGATGATAAAAGGAAGCCAAGGAAAATATTTTCTAAAGCAATTATATATAAGGAAGAGCAAGATTTATATAATTCACATTACTTTTCAAGGAATTCTCTTAGTCTCAAAATGTTTTGTCCTTTTGAATTATTAGGTTGGTGCAAACATCATTGTGGTTTTTGCATTGTTGGAATTTGCTGTTTGATATTGCAATGCATTCTTAAATAAATGTGATTATATTATATATCATTTTAATGGACATTTCTCGCTTTATGTTTTTTGCTAGTGACTTATTACTTGCTGTTTATTTTATGTTTATTTTAGACTATGGAAATGATGTTAGACAAAAAGCAAATTCAAGCAATATTCTTATTTGAGTTCGAAATGGGTCATAAAGACAACTCACAACATCAACAATGCATTTGGTCTGAGAACTGCTAATGAATGTACAGTGCAATGGTGGTTCAAGAAGTTTTGCCAAGGAGATGAGAGCCTTGAAGATGAGGAGCGTAGTGGCTGGCCATTGGAAAGTGACAACGACCATTTGAGAGTAGTCATTGAAGCTGATCCTCTTACAAGTACAAGAGAAGTTGCCCAAGAACTCAGTGTCAATCATTCTATAGTGTTCAGCATTTGAAGCAAATTGGAAAGGTGAAAAAGGTCAATAAGTGGGTGCCTCATGAGCTGACTGAAAATACAAAAATCATCTTTTTGAAGTGTCATCTTCCATTGTTCTATGCAACAACAACAAACTATTTCTCGATCAGATTGTGATATGCAACGAAAAGTGGATTTTATATGACAACTGGCAATGACCAGCTCAGTGGCTGGCCTGAGAAGAAGTTCCAAAGCACTTCCCAAAGCCAAGCTTGCACCAAAAAAAGGTCATGGCCACTGTTTGGTGGTCTGTTGCTGGTCTGATCCACTACAGCTTTCTGAATCTCACTGCAACTGTTACATCTGAGAAGTATGCTCAGCAAATCAATGAGATGCACTGAAAACTGCAATGCCTGCAGCTAGCACTGGTCAACAAAAAGGGCCCAATTCTTTTCCACAACGCCTGACTGCACATCACACAACCAGTGCATCAGAAGTTGAATGAATTGGGCCATGAAGTTTTGCCTCAACCGCCACATTCATCTGACCTCTGCCAACCAACTACTACTTCCTCAAGCATCTCAACAACTTTTTGCAGGGAAAATGCTTCCACAACCAGCAGGATGCAGAAAATGCTTTTCAAGAGTTCATTGAATCCTGAAGCACGGATTTCTATACTACAGTAATGAAAAAATGTATTTCTCATTGGCAAAAATGTGTGGATTGTAATGGTTCCTATTCTGATTAATAAAGATGTGTTTAAGCCTCGTTATAATGATTTAAAATTCAATTACTTTTGCACCAAACTAAGACAGGAACTTTGAGATCTCTAATCTTATTACACTTTTCCGTATTATTCTCTTACAATGTTTAAAATCAAAACATATTTGGTCATTTGACCTAGAGAAAGAGAATTCATCATGTCTTCTTGCGAATAACTCCCTGAGAGGACACAGCCCATACCTTGTCTCCTGCAGCGCCGCATAGTGCCTGGAGCATGTTAGGAGCTTGTTGGGTGTGTTCAATGAGTGGAGCAGACCTACATCTAGGCCTTCCAGGTCCTATCTTTCATTACCCATTCATTTCTCTTTGGAGTTCTCTTACCTACAACTCTCACCTTACAATTTTTCAATGTCAAGACCTATGAAATGTTCATTATTATAGGCATTTGCATAATTTATCTCTTATTTTAGCATCTTATTCAGTTCTTTGTTCATATTTCTAAAAGTAAAATCTGCCGTCTCATTTTAAAGTCTCTTCTGAGCACCTACCTGAAAGTGTTTGCCTCGGCCAGGTCATCACAGTCACAGTGAGAGAAAGAATAGATGCCTGACTTCATTGTTCTTGGGAGCCTCCATCGAATGGCCATGTCCAACTCACTAGACTTAGCACCAAATTTCCTCACAAACCCAAAGAAAAATAGGAGGCACACTGTCAGTTTCTTGATTGCTCATACAATGTCAAAAACCCAATACTATCACTAATCTAAATAAGAGGATTATTTATAAATAAATAAGAAGTTTATTTGGATTAGTGATAATAGGTCCAGTTTCCATTTTCCTTGGGGTCTTCAGGATTTTTTCTAGGAGACCGGCTACATAACTACCTCAGGCACAAACTCAGTTCCATAGAAGCTGTCTAAGACTGTTTGTGCTGCTATGAAAGAATATCTGAGACTGAGTAATATATAAAAAACAAAAACTTATTTTCTCACAGTTCTGGAGGACAGAAAGTCCAAGATCAAGGAGCTGCAGGTTCAGCTGTCTTTTAAGAGCTTCTCACTGCTTGCAAGTTGGCACTTTGATGCTGCATCCTCTGGGGGAGTTGAATGCTGTGCCCTCACATGGTAGAAGGGACACAAGAGCAGAAAAAAATAAAAGTCCTTTGTCAAATCCTTTTTATATGGGCACCCAATACCACACATGAGGGGAGGAGCCCTTATGACCTAATTACATCTCTAAGCCCTCACCTTTTAATAGCATCAATTGGTAACACCTGTATTTTGGAAAAACTCAAACCATAGCAGAAGTCAAGAAGCATTGATTTTAAATTTATTAATTGATGGATTCTTTCTCACTCCTTAAGTCCCATCTGCAACTTTTATCATCTTAAGCTGTTTAAATCCCTTTTATGCCATGTGTGTGTAATAATATTGGCAATGACTACCCCTCCAAATCCTACCTAAAGATTTTAAGATACTAAAAACTTCTCCACTTCTGCCTTGGTACTCATTAGCTAATTCCCTGAAGTGAAGACATTGAAGGCATTTATACTATATGTTGCAAATTTCTGCTTAGCATTATGTTTTCAGCAAAAAGAAAAAAAAAAGAAAACCTCTCTTGATAAAGTATAGCTTTTTTATTTCTGACAGAATAAATAGCATTCTATTTTCGATCTTTTTATTAAACATTTACTGGTTTAGTGACCGTGGGAAAGTTATTTAAACTCTCTAAACAGTACTGCATTGAAGCTGAAGCCAGCTCGTGAGAACCAATTGCTAAGTATTCAAGAGACTTGCCTAAAAGTTGTATGACCTTTGCGGGTTTGAAAGTGGTGTTGGTGGGAGTATGCACCAGAGGTGGGGGCAAGTGCTACAAATAAGGGCACTTTTTTTCCCAGAGAGCTGCTTTACCAGCTTACTACCATCGCTAAGCCTTATTCCCTCCTCCACAAAATGAGAATAATAATTTCAACCTGTATTAGATATGTCACATTGCAGAAAACAGTCTTTCTGCTAGTTTAAGTAGAAAGGCAATTTTCTAGAGGGTCTTAAATGTCCTATAGAATTTCAGGGAAGACTGATGAAATAGGCTATAGATACAGCTCTCTAAAATAAATGTGACAGTCATACCATAAAACTGGGCCACCATGGACATACTGCCTGTTATATGTTCAGGAAGCCGCCTGCCTATTTTGGAAGCTGCTGCTATGGTTGCCAGTTCTAGACCTACTTTGCCTCTACCATGATCAGGAAAGCCTCCTTGATCAAGAAGCCACCACAAAACAGAGATCTCCACACTGCCTCAGTCTATGCCTCACCTTCAAATATTTCAAAAGAGCATCTGATTGGTAGAAACTAAGTCACAACAAGAACTGTAGCTGCATGGGAGGCTCAGAAATACAGTCTTTATTTGGAGTGGCCTTGTGTCCGGATAAAATTCAGGAATTCTATGGGTACAGATTAGACAAAAGGGCGAGAACAGTTATTAAAAGATATCTAGCAGTCTCTGCCATAGATAGCCCTTTCCTATCTCCAATACCGTTGAATGCCTTTTTTCTCCAGAGAAAAATTCATACCCCGTCCAAGAGACACGACCCCAAAGTCCCATTCAAAGACTGAATTGAGCCCAAAAGAAAGAATCTCTGAGTGACAAAAAGTCCTCACCATGAGGTCCAGGCCTCAAGCAATCCTCTCACCTCAGCCTCCCAAAGCACCGGGATTACCGATGAGGGCCACCATGCCTGGCTGAGACAGGGTCTTTACAGAGGAAATAAAGTTAAAATGAAGTCATTCAGGTGAGCCCTAATCCATATGACTGGCAGTGTCCTTATAAAAAAGGGAAACTTGGGGCATGCTGCAGTGGCTCATGCCTGTAATCCCAACACTTTGGGAGGCCAAGGTGGGAAGATCATGAGGTCAGGAGATTGGGACCATCCTAGCCAACGTGGTGAAACCCTGTCTCTACTAAAAATACAAAATTAGTTGGGCAGGGTAGCGGGTGCCTGTAATCCCAGCTACTTGGGAGGCTGAGGCAGGAGAATCACTTGAACCCGGGAGGTGGAGGTTGCACTGAGCCGAGATTGCACCACTGCACGCCAGTCTGGCGACAGAGCGAGATTCCGTCACACACACACACACACACACAAAGGAAACTTGGATACAGGAATGGCACACAGGGAGAATGTCATGTGAAGATGAAAGCAGATGTCGGGGTAATGTGACCGACAAGTTAAGGAATGCCAAAGGTTGCCAGCAAACCACCAGAAGCTTGGGGGAGGCATGAAACAGACTCTCTTATAGCCATCAGAAGGAGCTAGCCTTGCAGACACCTTGATCTTAGACTTCTAACCTCTATAACTTTGAGATAATAAATTTCTCCTGTTTAAAGCACCCAGTTTTTCGTATTTTGCTATGGCAACCCTAGCAAGCTAATATAGGCTTGTATTCATAATGCCCTAAAATCAGGAACTTCAATGGTAGGGCAACATGCTTTATTTGACCTATATTCATTGTGTACCCAAAATGCTTTGGAGATATGCTTGTAAATTGTTGGAGTCACAGTGCTCCTTCAGAGCACCCTCATTATTGCTTCAGTGTGGAAGTGCAGACAATTGACTTTTTCAACACTGTGTAGAGGCACCAAATTATCAGACTCATAAATCTTTTAGATTCTTGACCACAGGTTGAAATTCCCTGCCTCAGGTTTAAATTCTCTGTCCTTTCCTTAGCAGAGATCTATATTCCCTTTATTGTCCTTGAAGCCTGGCTAGATCTAGATATAGTTCAACTCTCTCTTGCAAAACGTTGCTGAAAGTAGCAGAAGCAACCAATTGACATCAATTGAATTTTTCCAGTGATCTAGCCTATAGCTACAGACTTGATAAGCATGTAATCGCCTTTCCAAGTTAGCTTAGGCAGGAATTTGTTCAATACCCTGCCACTGAATAACTATGGTCTCTAGTTTTCCAGACTGCTATGCTTGTTCTTACCATCTACTGCCTGGACTGCTAAGACAATGAAATGTGCATTAATATATTTTAGGGCAGCACCCTACTTCTAAATTCTCAGTTTTGTGTTGTTCAGTGTTCATTTGTAGAGAACAGAATCCAGTCTAGCTAGTTTAATCAGAAAAGGATTTAGTACAGGTTTTGTTATGGCTTAGAGAGTTGGCTGGAGGGCTAAAGAAACACTCCAAGAATGCTTTGAGAACAATACAACAGAGTTGGGCCACCAATGCAGGTGTTCTTATAGATACTGGAAAACTGCCATGATCACAACTCAATTTTGAGTCAGGACAGGGGATGGGGACAGAGAGACCCAGAGTGGAACTGCGGAAGAAATAGAAGCATGACTTCTACCTTGCACATCCCTCATGTGCGCATCTGATGAGCAGAATCTAAGTCAATCCAGAGCTGTATCTGTAAGAGTATCTGGACAATGTCTGTCATTCTGGACAGTAATGTCCAGAATCAAGGGTTCTATTTCCATGAGACAAAGGGGAAAGGAGATATTGAAGAACAAGTGGTCAGATTGTGAATGTAAATATTTGAAGTTTGTTTTGGCACAGAGTGGGCCCTTAACAATTGACAGACTTATGGAAGTATAAGACACGTGTCCTCCTTAGGAGAAAAAAATCAGAAATATAAGATCAGGTATGTAAAAGAAATCTATGTCACAATCGGAAATACAAGATCAGATACAAAGAACTCAATCACTTTGACCTTTTGCTCATTTTGGTGGAACACAACGTCCTCTGAGCTAGAATATTTGCAAATGTAACCTTATGTTTAACAAAGTTCATTCTCTGGAGCAACTGACTTTATAAAATAAAAATGCTGGCCCAATTGAATTCTCTTATACCTTGTTCTTTCTCAAGTGGTTTCACCATCCCATGCTTTCTAATACCCTTGATCCAAACAGATAAGAGCTCTCAGATGTATACCAAGCCTGGTTTTATCTGTTTAAATTTAAATCCTAAATCTAGATTTGTAAAATATATTTTAGAGCAGAGGTAAGCAACGTTTTTCTAGAAAGGGTCAGGTAGCAGTATTTTCAGCTTTGCAGGTCATACAGTGTCTGTTGCAGTTTCTCAGCCATGACATTGTAGCATAAAAGCTGTCATAGAGAGTGCGTGTGTGGATAAGTGTACTTACATCCCCAAAACACTCTTTACAACAAAGGTTGGGGGTGCTAATTTGGCACATAGACTGTGGTGTGCTTGCATGAAATAAATTTTAAAAAACCTCATCAGAGGTACCTTGCTGATCTCTTAAAAAGTGGACTCCAGTTGGGTCTTTTTCTTCCCTGCTATGGAGTCCATTCTTTCAAACACTGTACTTAGTTTAGCTCTGGTATTTGAAACAACTTTCTTCTGCTCGGTTTCACTTTAAAATCACATATCAATGTTCTTTGGACCATTTGGGAACTGAAACACAACATGAAATTTTGGAAACTTAGATAACCCCATCTTCATAATGGAGACATCAAGTTGCTACTAACTGTCTCAGATACACATGAAGCAGCCCAGTGTTTTTCTGTCAGCCTCAACTGTGGGCTGGATTCATCCATTGGCTTCTGACATTCTTTTCAATACCATGAGAACCTGTGAACTCACATGGCCTCTCACATCCAATTGGAAGTCCCAGGTAGCCCTAGTCTAGTTTATCCTATTGCTGCCCTGTCCTGACAGATTCTGTACTGAGAGGGAGAATAGAATAGTGAATAAGAGTACAGGAATCACACCTGACTTCTGCCACTCATTTGCTGTATGAACTTAAGGTAAGTACTTAAGCTTTCTAAGCTTTAATTTCCTAAGATGCAAGATAGGGATCATGATAGTGCCTACTTAGAGCAATGCCTGGACTATATATCAAGCACGTGATACATGTTATCTGTAATGGAGGATTTGGCGTCAGTTGTTTATATAATTTATGAGGATTATAATATTGTTAATTGGCTTTCATTGAAATACTTTGATATATATGAATTAAATATATATATTTATTCATATATATAAATATATATATGAAGTAAATTTTGAATTGTTTGCTTGTTTTTGTTTCGGTTTATTTGTTTTAATTATGATCTCATAACATGAATATTTTCTATACATCGGTATAGTGTGTTTTACTATTTAGTTGCCCTAAGTTTTCTTAAAAGTATGCTTCTTTTTTTAAACAATTGAGCATATGTGTTAAACAACAGAACAGATAGCACAAAAGAGTACACAAAAATGTGAGTGAAAACATAAGTTCCATGGATATTTTAGTATTTGATCCACTGATTTTTTTTTTTTTTTTTTGAGACTGAATCTTGCTCTGTCACCCAGGCTGGAGTACAGTGGCGTCTTCGTGGCTCACTGCAACCTCCACCTCCCTGGTTCAAGCAATTCCCCTGCTTCAGCCTCCCAAGTAGCTGGGATTACAGGTGCATGCCACCATGCCCAGCTAATTTTTTTATATTTTTAGTAGAGACAGGGTTTAACTATGTTGGCCAGACTGGTCTTGAACTACTGACCTCAGGCAACCTGCCCGCCTTGGCCTCCCAAAGTGCTGGGATTACAAGCATGAGCCATCACACCTGGCTGATCCACTGATTCTTAATGGTTGCCTAGCCTATGTATAAATGGCTATACCCAAAAAGTTGCTCCAGGCAGGTGCAGGAGCTGCCGAGGAATGTGGAAACCTTGTCTTCTCATACCCACAGATGAAAAATTTCAGGTTCTCCTTCCTGTATTAACTGCTGCTAGGATGTCTCCTCCCCAAACCCCACCTCCTCCCTCTTTTCAGCTGATCCCAGGACATTCCTAGATAAAACTAAGGAAGAAAATGTTGAACAGGGCAGGCTGACAGTTCCCTGCCAGAAATAGTCCAGGGAGCGAAACTCACTTAACCAACTGGGTCATCTGGTCATTGGCGAATTTATTCCCTTGCTAGAGCAGCTGTGATGTACTCATTTGCCAAACCTGGGTCTTGAGCTTAGCCCTGGAGTAGGAGAGCAGTCAGTGTATCTAAATCACTGAGAATTGTAGTTGGAAAAGTAGTGGTTCCTGAAAGCAAACTGAAGTACAACTAACAGAATAAAGGGGATAGGATCTTGGACTTCTGAAAACAACTGTCCTCTACAGATTCCTGCACTTCCTCCCCAGCACACCAGCAGCATCCTCACTCTCTGGCCTGCCTGCTGGAAATGTAATAAAGCTGCTTAAGAACAAGAGGGCCGGGCGCGGTGGCTCACACCTGTAATCCCAGCACTTTGGGAGGCTGAGGCAAGCAGATCACCTGAGGTCAGGAGTTCGAGACCAGCCTGGTCGATGTGGTGAAACCATGCCTCTATTAAAAACACAAAAAATTAGCCAGGCGTGGTTCCAGGTGCCTGTAGTCCCAGCTACTCAGGAGCCTGAGGCAGGAGAATTGCTTGAACCCAGGAGGCGGAGGCTGCAGTGAGCCGAGATCAGGCCACTGCCCTCCAGCCTGAGTGGCAGAGTAAAACTCCATCTCAAAAACAAAAAACAAAAAACAAACAGAAACAAAAAACAACAGCAGCAAAAACAAAACAAAACAAAAAACAAGAGAAGGGACCACAATGGCTGTAGTGGAATTGGATCAAGGAGAAAAACTGGGCACTTTTACAGAACCTAAGGGCAAATATAAATTGGGATGACATCTTTTCAAGTTCTCAGGCCCAAATTCCTTTCTCAATTTGCTAGGGGAAATCCCAACCAGGTCAATTTCATGTTGGCCCTAACGTTATGCTATTTGGGAAAATCCGTTTTTCTCTGCTCTCACACCACAGCAATTAGCACAGAAGACTTCTGTGACCACATGTGGGGACTTTTCCCACACACCAAGCAGTAGACACCAGCTGGTGTCCTTTAATTCAATTTGGACACTATCTACCTGGAAATAACTTCAGATCCCACAGGGTGAGGGCTCAGTCACCAAAACTGTCCTCTGCTTCCCCCTGTTTCCCCCTGGACACCAGTTTCAAGTCCCAGCCTCAGGAACTTCTGACCTACTGGCTTCAAGTTGGGTTTCCTACAACCCCGTCTTTAGGGTTGATTAATTTACTAGAGTAGCTCACAGAATTCAGATAAACACTTACGTTTACCTGTTTAGTATGAAGAATATTAGAAAGGATACAGGTGAAGAGATGCATAGGGAGAGGTATGAAGGAAGGGGTGCAAAGGTCCCATGCCATCCCTGGGTGCACCACCCTCCAGGAACCTCCATGTGTTTAGCTATTTTGGAAGCTCTCTAAACCCTGTCTTTTTGGGTTTTTATGGAGCCTTTATTACATAGGCATGATTGACAACCATGTAGAAATGTGACTGGACAAAAAGGGTATGATGTCACACTGAGTGGGGAAAACTAGCAAGACCTGTCTCTTCAGATTCTTCTTGAACCTGAAGAAGGACCCTCTCTAGAATGAGGTTCTTTGTACCCACAATCAGTTTGTAGTCTCACCTTGAACAGGTAAAAGGAGGCCAGGAGATCAGAGAGAGAGAGAGATTGTTTCCTGGGGCCTGTTCCTGAGGCCTAAAGCACCCCAACATTATAACAAAAGACTGTAACAAAGGCTAAGGGAATTACGAGGCAGGAACTGTGGATGAAAATCAATATATATATTAAGTCATAATATCACATACGGCTAATAAGAATTTTTAGTCCCTTCTATAATTTTCTTCAAGATACTATTTTTGAGTTTGGACAGTAAATTGCCCCTCTTTGCTTGTTGATGGGTGGGATATCACCTCTGGGTCTCTGGTTTCCGGAAGCCTTTGGTACCCAAGGAGAAGAAGGCAGGATATGGATTCTGGCTGAATCCAAATTTCCTTTCCAGTACCAAAATCCAGTCACTGAAATGTATTAGCTTTGCTTAGGTGTGTCTTTTGTCCTCAAGCAAAACTCTTACTGATGTGTCATGTATCTCTGTTCTATTTGGCTTCTCAAAAGCATATTCACTAGTCTAACATTAAAGTTAAGTACTATTTCAAAAAATAAAGATTCTTCACTTTTCATTCTAACCCTGTGTCCAGCTATAAATCATCTATTTAGTCTTTGGCCTCTGAAGTCTGGAGACATATTTCCTCTACAGCTGATGCCATCCTTCTTTTTATTAGGGACAGTGACAGACTCATTTTTTTTTTCCTTTTGATCATTTTGCAAAGCTTCAGTGGTTAACATACTTCAAGCCCTTCCTGGTTCAGATATATAGGTGTTCACTTCAATTGTTTCCCTTTTCCAAGGATCAAAACCTTGTGTTGCCAGTTTCTCAATGTCTGAAACCATTTTTTTCATAAATTTAGTTGAGGAGGTAGGAGAACAAGTCTGACACCAGTTACCACCTCACAGCAAGATACATTACTAAGATTTTCAAGTGTCTTATTCGGATATCAGAGTAATGCAAAATACTCAATTTATGAAAAAAATAGATTTTTAAAACTTATGGTCTAAAAGCAGTTTTAATAGAAACAGAACGACTAGTTTCTTTGGGAGTTGAAAATTATCATGTGAAATCCTCTGGTCCTTTTCTTAGTCATAGTTTTTCCCTAATATTCTCATAGTTTTTATTTTTACAAGTTTATTAGACTTCTTAACTCAAAATTCTTCTTGTATCAATTTTGGTGATTTGTGTTTCCTTGGAAGTAGTATCCATTTCACCTGGATTTAATTTGTTAGTTCACAAAGACTTACTATTTTAATTTACTCTTTAATTATGATTTCTTCCCCTTTCTTAGTCATAATTACTTGACTTTTTTTTCCTCTGCCATTTCCTCTTCTCTATTAGACTGTTTATTTACCTATTTTATTATAGTCAAACCAATCCCCAACAGGGGAAAAAAATCATGTGATGTATTTTTTTAAATTTAGAGTTCCAGGATACATGTGCAGGATGTTCAGGTTTGTTGCATAGGTAAACATGCGCCATGGTGCTTTGCTGCATCTATCAGCCCACATGTGATGTAGTTTTAAAATTAATTCTACTGTTTCTTTGCTTTCCATTTTTCCCAATTTTTTGTTTGTATATTTCTTAATTCATTCTTTCTGATGTTTTTCTCTAACTTCTTGGTTGATTCTTTTTCTTTTTAATTGAGGTACAATTTACAATGAAGTGCACACAATTTAAATGTACAGTTCAATGAATTTGTACAGTCTTAGTTCTTGGTGGCTAAGTTCTGGCTTCAATCATTTTGAGGCTTAGCTGTAAGTCAAGGCTTTGTGCTCTATAATAGTGCTTCTCAAGTTTTTTTTTTGTTTTTTTTTGTTTTTTTTTGAGACAGGGTCTCTCTCTGTCACCCAAGTAGCTGGGACTGCAGGCATACACCAACCACGCCTGGCTAAGTTTTGTATTTTTATTAGAGAGGGGGTTTCACCATGTTGCCCAGACTGGTCTGGGCACTTCAAGTGATCTACCTGCCTTGGCCTCCCAAAATTCTGGGATTACAGGCGTAAGTCACCACGCCTGGCCTCAATATTTAATGTGCATAAAACCATCCAGATGTCGTTTAAAAATGTAGATTCTGATTCAGTAGGTTGGGGCCTGAGATTCTGCAATTCTGTTAAGCGCCCAGGTGATACCAATGCTGCTGGTCTGTGGCCCCGACTTTCAGTATCAAATTTTTATAAGACATTTCTATATCCTTTTAACACATTTTTTTTAGCTTAATTCAGGTTGAGTTTCTTCTATTAGCAAATAAATAGCTCTCTGTTAAGATACACTATACCCACAGTCCTTGGTACAGGTAGCAAACAACTAATAAATATTTGTTGAATTAAATTAAGGCTATGAATTTTCCTGAATTGAAATTTGTTCTGTTCTCTGGCTTTGATATATAGTGTTTTGATTTTTATTATTAATATTAATATTTTAAAATATTTTTATTAATATTCTTCAGCATGTAATGTTTGATTTTTCTCTTAAACCAATGTGTTTGGGGACAGATTTTTAGAAATTTTCAAGTAGTTGGGGATATTTGTGAGCGTGTTTTTGCTTTGCTTACTTCTAGATTTATTGCCCAGGTTAGAAATTGTGGATATATTATTTCTGTGTTTTGGAATTTTTAATGTTTTTCTTCTTGAAAATTCTTTCTTTAGATGTGTTACTATATTCAGTCAGATTATAGTCAGGACTTGGCAGGGCAGTTGTTTTGTCTCTTTAGGTTAAGTTTCCATTTAGCTGATCAAATTCATTATATGCCTCTTTTATATTTGAATTCTAGATGGAGACCTTATTTTCCCATTTTCAAACTATTTGTAGGGGAGATCTATCTGTTGTGTTACATACTACAGTTCTCTCATGTGTATAATGAAAATAGTAATAGTACATGCCTATTTTCAGGCATTGCTGTAAAATGTAAAATGCTTAGCACTGTGTTTGGACCATACTAAACCCTCAAAAATAGCTCCAGATGATGTATTTGTATATGTATTTCTGAATCTGAAGCTTTGCTGTTAGTAGCATTCCACTTTGATAGAGTGGCTTCCAATTACCCAAACTTCATTCTAACCAAGAAAAATGGCAACAGATGAAGAACAAAAGCAAAAGAAACAAAAACCTCCCAGAAACTGGCTGGAAGATAAGAAATCCCATGGGGGCATAAGTGTGATGTAATGACTCCCGCCGTCCAAAAAAAAAAAGCCAAGTTAATTTTGTTTTAAACATGTTTTACACCATCCTGCAAGAGAATATATAGACTGTTGAGCAAAGTATCCAGAACTGAATCCTAATAATGACAGATACAACTTTTTTACTTTTTTGAAATAGATACGTGGATTTATTCCTCTCCACCATTAAACCTGTGTAAACCCTCACAGTAGGAATTAGGCCTTTCATTTATGGTCCCAGTGGTCTTCACAGGTGCCTTGACAAAGAGCTACCAAGCACCATCTGAATTTTATGGAGACTAAGAGCCCAGTTTCAGAGTCCAGCAGACCTCAGCCAAATTCCAGTTTCTCCACTCAGTAATTAAGCAACCTGCCTTAAGATTTATGTCTGGGGCTCCTCGCCTGTAAAACACACCTACCTTAGGGGGCTGTTAAGAGGATTCAATGTAATTGAATTAAGTAGGTACAACTTAATTACAAAGCACTTTTCCCCAACCATTTCAAATTATTTATCTACGTATTCATCCATCCATCCAAAGCACCTCAATAATTGGCCAATAATTCCTAAGTGAAAGGAGCTTTACAACACACGAAGAACTCTTCTATTATGTCACACGAAATTATAAATATAAATATAAAACAAATTATTTTACATATAAACGATGGAGGTAAAAAATAAATCGGCCAATAATAACTAGCAAGTAGTATTTGGTAATTCTTTTGGTGAGGCCGACTTAAAAATTTACGAAATATTATTTATTTTCATTGCAAGTCTATCAGAAATCACTAATGGTGTAGCACTGCATTCTTCCCTGCTTTTGGTTCTCAAACTACGTATCTTAGTAAACGCAATTTGCAGACAAACCAAGCCTCGCTAATCAGTGCATCATGGCTACTCTGGTAAAGGAAGAAATTCACTGTTTGCCAAGCATCCCATCAGATGGGTGACTTCACAGCCACTGGAAGAAATCTTTCTCATGTTCGAGTAGATGGAAACTCCAAAACTGTGCAGTTGCTAAATCCACTTGTCACACCTCCTCCTTTTCTCTGCTTCTAAGGTTGCCCTCTAAACTCTTTATCTGAGGATGGAAACACACACACGCACCCACACACACCCACACCCACACACACACAAACGTATTTGGCTAAAGGTCAATTCACATAGTGGCAGGGACTTTCGTTTATATGCATTTTCCTTCCCAGCTCTCTCAGTTCTGAGTCAGGCTAAGCAGGAGGCAGAGAGCTCGTCCTCCTCTGCATGGGCGCTTTTTCTTATTTGACTTTTAGTCCTGGGAGGAGTAGCGTAGTTGCGAGATACTAGGATATCCACAAGCGGGATGAATTTGGACCTTATCCCTCACTGTGATCCTTCACTTCGCCTTCTGTTTCAATTTCTCCCAGTCGGTTTACTGCTTGACAAAATTCTTTCACAATTAAGTGATCACAGGACAACCCAACCCAACCAATCCAAACCTGCAGGCAACCCCAGACATCCAGGGAACCCTGGCGCGGCTCGGGCCAGCCCACACCCACGCGGAATCATTCCATTTATCGGCCACCAATCAGCCCTCCACACGCTCCCGCGCCAGCCAATCCGAACAAGCGCACGTTGTTCCGGCCACCTCCTCTCAGCCCCCCCTCCCCGGAGCCCCCGGGATCGGGCCAGGGGGCGGGGCTGGGGGCTCGGCCCGCCTTGCCCTGAGGCGCTGGGTGCCTTCCAGTTGGCTGCGACCAGCGGTGACTTACAAGTTGGCTGCTGTCGCCTGCGCATCGGCGGGCCGGGAGGCTGAGCAGTACTGTTGAGAGCGGTGTGAGGTGCTTGGTAGCGCGCCGTAGCTGCTTCCACGTCCTTGCTTCACCTCAGGTAAAGGTAAGGAGAGCCACGGAGCCGCGGCAGGATTGGGGTGGCCCGTGTGGAGGGCGACTGTGGCGCCCGGGGCGTCCTGCCAGGTGCGTCTTCTGGACCTGCTCCAGACCATGGATCTGGGGAGCTCGCGGTGGACGTTGGGGATGGCGGGCCCCGGCGTCCGGGCGGGAGAGGACCTCACAGATGAAAGAGAAACCTGAGCCCCTGGGAGGGGAAGCGGCGAGCTGGAAGGATCCCAGGGCTTGCAACTCGCCCCTGCGCGCCGCTCACCTATTTAAGTACTTGGAATCCATTAGACCTCAGTGTCCTCAGCTGTTAAATGGGAGAGGGGCGGTGGTAATCCCGCTTGATTTGGGACAGTCCTGTTCTTTGGAGGTCACCGCGCTTCCTGGTTCTTAGGAGGTGCACAGACAGCGCAGGGGCAGCCGCGTCCCACCAGGCTTCGCGGAGGTGATGCCAAAGACAAGAGACAAAGTTTTCCCAGGGCTTACTGCCTTCCAAGGTCCCTGCTAAATGTATTAACTCAAATAATTTCTCACCAAATCAGTGTCATTGTTTTCCCGAATTTACACTTGAGAAAGATTACCTTAGATTTTTAGGTTCAGCAGCCAGGACAAAACTTGACAAATATTTGGTGGGCCCAGGTTTTTTATATGAAGTCTTTTCCAGCCTGTGATCAGCTTCCACAGTTTTACAAGAGAGAGCTTTAGGCTCTGAAGTCAGACGCCCTGGGTTGGAATTCTGGCTCCATCACTTATGAACTGTGTGATCTTGGACAAGTGACTCAACCTTCCTGTTGCTATTTTCCCTTTCTGTAAAACAGGGAAAATGTATAGACATTAAGCTACTATTCTCACTTATGGAAGACCTCAAGATATCTAAAGTATGCCCATTTACACCAATCCTAGAGCTTCTGAATAACTAAAATTCCTTTACCATAATGAAACACATTTTCTCAAGGAGGACTATTACTGTTGTGAGGATTAAATAAAATAAATGCAATGTAAAGCAGCCAGAAGGACTGACCATGTAGTAAGTGATCAATAAATGTTATTGTTATTTTTTAAAATCAAGTACAGAGCATTAGGTTTTTTTTTTAATCAAGTATTAGAGCATTAGGGGTTTGAACAGTAAGTTGGCTCACTATTCATATTGTAGAAATATACTTCCATGTTGCATTTCTTTAAATAGTGAGCTCCTGCCAGAGCCAGTCTCAAAAAATGAGAAGCTGCTGTACTTGTCTGAGTTAGAAAACTTAACAGTTCAACATTGATTGGAAATCAAGCATATGCTGAAATTTTTATGTTAGTTAGAAAATATAATTTAATTTACAAAGCTTTGGTTTGTATGACATTGGGGAAAGTCCATGGCATGTTAAACTGAAGCTGTTGACGGAAGTGAAAACCATATTAATCAAGTAATGCAAGGTTAGACCGTTCTGATACCTGCATTTCTTTAACAAGTGAATTCTGACCTAGTCGTACTACAAAAGTCCAAACAGATTTTTATGGCATTCACTTTACATTACAGGTTAAATGTTTTATTATGTTCCATATTTAAAATAGAACCTATGCCATCTCACTGTGACAGATATTTGAGAATAATTGGAGTTGGATTGGTCAAGACTATGGTGCTGATAGATGGCCTCAAGAAAAGTAACTTGAGACAGCTGCCCTCCCTATGATGGCAGCCACTATCACCACTAGTGATAGCTTCAAAAGCATGGGCATAGAAAACATGAACAAAAAGATTAAAGGAAAAACATGGAGGTGGACATTACTCAGCATTTGGCCATGGGACTGACAAGAGTATAAAATCTTTTATATGAACCTATTATATTCTGATAAGGTTAAGTGGTGCCTGTTCTCTCTGACGTGTAAATGTTAGAGTTGGATAATTTCCTGATATAAGGTCAAGATAAGGGAATAAAAGACTGAATTAGTAAAAGGAAGTTCAGAATGGGTTCAGAATGGCATTTAAAACATTTACCTGACATTCTCCACAGTTGGAGATTGCAGGAGGGCAAATTAGGTGTTTTCCTCTCAATTAATGTCAGTACCCTGTTATATTAGGAGAGAGAGCCAAGACCTTGATAACCCATCTCCCCCAACCCTCTTGGTTCTAGAATATATTAATATTTTGAGAAATGCTCAATTATGCCTGTTTACACAGAGGTAGCAGTTTTGATGGCAATGATTATTTCATTATGGACTTAATCTTGATGAAAATAATCCATGCAAGACTTAACTGTTTGGTTAAATACATTGCTGGACATATTTAATCAGAGAGAGCTTTCTGATTTTGTACTTCTTTCTCTTCCTTTCCTACCTCCCACTGCACCACTCTTAAAAAGGCTATTAATAGAATTTTTTAATGTTTTAGTTTTTGTTGTTGTTATTTCTGTTAAAGCTTAAGGGTGGAATAAGTCAATTTGAGAGTAAAATCTGAATTCCATCTGTTTCTGTAGTTCTAGGACCTGGTATATAATAGATGCTTGATAAATATTTAATAGTAGTCCTTCTTGAGAAATGGTGTTTCATTATGGTAAAGGAAGTTTTAGTTATTCAGAAGCTCTAGGATTGGCGTAAATGGGCATACTTTAGATATCTTGAGGTCTTCCATAAGTGAGAATGGTAGCTTATTGTCTATACATTTTTCCATTTTTTATTCACTGTGTTCCTACTGAGTGCTAGACGTAAGGAGAATTAATATTGAACAAGCCAGATTTCCTACCCCCCAAAGATTTTACAGTTAAACGGGAGAAGATAACAAGTGAATAATTACAGTACAGAGTTGCTGTCAGAAAATATTGGAGGGGGAACTAACCCAGGTTCAGGGGAATCCAGGAAAGATAAGTGGAAATTAGGTAATGAAAATATGCCACATTATAAAAGGGCCTGTAAGCTATAGTAAGGAGCTTGAACTTTATACTGATCAGTATGAATTACTAAGTCAAGTACCTTAAAGTTGCAGATTCTCATCTCTTCTAGGTAGCTAGCTTTCTAGGTAACTTTCCGTGCACTGGATTTGCCCAGTGATAATGTTTGCTTATGATAATAATAACTTTCTGTTTCACCTTTGATTTCTATCAAAAAGTTTTGCATAAATACTCTTATCTGCCAACCACAGGAACCTAGCAGGTGACCTTTGGGTTTAAAGAATATGTTTAATCATAGTGATCCCTGTAATAGATAAATTAAATCTCTTTTACAAGCCTTCTGCAAGAACTTCTGCTTGTTTGTGGCATACTCTTGAATAAAGTTATTGAACTGGCTATCAAGTTGACAGCCTCTTGAATGGAAATTAGGTATATTCTTGACTGAGAGACTTTTTGAATGAGCTCATCAACTTTTCATCCGTGGATTGGATCTATACTTATTATATATTTTGCATCACTTACATAGATCCTAAAAGTTATATTGAATTTTCTTTGTATACTTTCCCATGTTTCTACATAATTTTAGTATTTATAAATTTTAATGGCTTATATGCTCTAATTAGTGGTATTTAAATATTGGCTACAACCTTAATTTATTTCTGTCACTTTAATTTTTAGATCAGTTAGTTCTGATCTCTGGCTAGACAACAGAATAATTAGTGAGACTATTTTAAAGGACCTACATTTCTGAGGCCCATTCCAGAACAAAGCCACTGAATTAGACTATTTGGCACTGGGCCCTAAAATCTAACACCTAAAAGCAGCGACAACTAGTACAAAGCATAAAAAGGTGATTCTGATGTGTGCATCCATAGTTGACAACTGCAGCCTTATTCCCATAGAGGGTGATTTCATTTAGATTAGGAGATTTCATTTAGATGTTTTCTTGACCTCCTTTCCAGCAATTTGATGGTTCTGTAATGGGCAACTTTACCCCTAAAACTCTTTTCTTCTTTAGCCTTTTACTGAAGATGGGAGGAATAGAGATAGAATAGTGAAAAGTAGGAATTATGCTAAGAAATTGGTGCCCTGGCACCAAAAGAAGACAAAGACCAAGTAATTCTTGTTTTGAGACAATAACATATCAACAAAATAAGGGCCTACTATGTGCCAGGCAGTGTTCTAGGTGGTGGAGTTATAGTGGTGAATAAGAAAAGGACCTCTATGCTATTAGTTAGGAATGAGGTGGTCAAAGAGTAGAATCATACACCTATAAATAAGTTATTATATTGTCAGATAATGATAAGCACTATGAAGAAAATAACGATGTAATAGTAACTTAAGAAGGCTTTATGAAGGATAGGAGGTTTAAACTGAAATTGGCATTACATTGTTATTAGTGATGCTAAGATTTGGGATCTAGCCGTATCAAAGACCACAAGTCAGCGATAAGCTAGCCTGTTTGAGGGACAGAAAGAAAACCAGTGTAGAATACTGTAGACAATGAGGTATGATGGTGTTAAAAGGAACCTATTCTTATTAAGGGCAATTCCAAGCCTTTTGACTTGAGAACTTGGGCTCAATTGCCATTTTAATAGTAAATTGTTAAAATGAGGAATACTGTGACAAATTGAGGGAAGCCAGGGGAGGCAAGAGATTCCCTTTAGGCTTGAAGCTTTAAGTAGGCTTCTGGATCTGGGATTTTTGAGCTCATTGAAACAAAGAGGACTGGAGGTAAATGTTTGAGAGTTAACAGCATATCTATATATGAGATACAATTGCTTCCCCTTCCTCCTGTCTTCTCTTCTACTTTCTGTATGAGTGATTTTAATTGTAAAAAATATGTAATTCTCACCTCTGGCTATGGGTTATTCATCTTGGGAGCAATTAGAAAAAAACTATGCCCGGGTCCTACTCTCAGAGATTATGATTAGTTGATTTGGGGTGAGGGTAGCTATCTTTTATAGCTCTGGTAGGTTATTATATTGTGAAACCAGATTCGAGACCCACTGGCCTATTGCCTCAAACTGTGGTATTTGCTGATGCTAATCTTGGTCTCCATAACAGAGAGAAGTAATGGAAGGCCTGTCTGATGTTGCTTCTTTTGCAACTAAACTTAAAAACACTCTCATCCAGTACCATAGCATTGAAGAAGATAAGTGGCGAGTTGCTAAGAAAACGGTAAATTAGTTCAATTACTTATATTTGGGGTATATCTTCTATCTAATGAATTGGTTGATGACTTTTAAAATTAAATGGAACAATATGGACAAAGACCATACTTTGGATGGATATGCAAGAAAAATAATTGAGCTAATAAAGTTGATAGTCTAATGTCACACAGAGGAAGAAATGCATCAGTGGTAATCCTATACTGCTTTCATTAGCTCTTTGGATATTAGACAAGAGAATAGGCTCATGGCAACTAGAACCTAAAGAATGGCCTCTTAAGTCAGCAAATAAAATGTATCATTATTAATTTAAGAAAGTGTAGTACTTGAGAGTTTGGAATAGTTTCAGGTATATCAAAAAGCCTATGAAGGTAGCTAGTTAGTATTCCTTTTTACTAATGTGACTTGCCCAAACTATTACATAGGTGACTTGAGTGTTGCTAGAACTAATTCTAGAACCCAGGACACTTCTAGTTAAGTGCTCTAGCTATTCTGATATTCAGAATTACTTGGGAAATGATGAGGAAAAAATGTAGGGACAAATTCATGTTAACACTGTCGTAATAAATGTGAATTGTTTAATTTTTTAAAAGTTATGAACAATGTCAGAATGAAATAGTGTTCCTAGTGTTAGAGTCTGAATGCATCAGTAATGGTAAATAGATAAGATTGGACTAAGATAGTGCCATCATTGAATCTTACAGTGTTTGGATATCATTAAATACTACTGAAAATATTCTTTGGAGGTCTGTAATTTAAGTACAATGTGAAGAACTTTAGGATACAGAAGAAATTCAAATACAAATCCTTTTATGGTATAGATGACTTTTATGTATTCTGAAAATGTACTGGTTTTATTTTAATGCAAAGACAAATTCTATAGACTTATAAAATTATCAGTTTTGTGTCTAGGGTTCCACCTATGCAATTATTACCATATAATGTTTTTATTTTTCTAGAAAGATGTAACTGTTTGGAGAAAACCCTCAGAAGAATTTAATGGATATCTGTAAGTAACTTTTTATAGACTTACACAGCTCTTAAGACATTTCAAAACTTATATCCATTGTCACTAAGTAGTCATTGCTAGTAAGATTTAGCTTTTTAAGAGTTCTTTAACTTTTTTTTTTTTTTTTTTTTTTTTTGAGACAGAGTCTCACTCTGTCACCCAGGCTGGAGTGCGGTGGCACAATCTCGGCTCGCTGCAACCTCTGCCTCCCGGGTTCAAGCGATTCTTCTGCCTCAGCCTCCCGAGTAGCTCGGATTACAGGCACCTGCCACTGTGCCTGGCTAACTTTTTTTGTAGTTTTTAGTACAGATGGGGTTTCACCATCTTGGCTAGGCTGGTCTTGAGCTCCTGACATCCCGCCTTGGTTTCCCAAATTGCTGGGATTGCAGGCATGAGCCACCACACCTGGCGATTTTTTTTTAACTTTCCGGAAAGCAAATTGGGCTTATGAATTCAGAGCCTTAAAAATGTCCGTGTCCTTTGTAGACTGAGTTGGTGGTGAGGAGGTCATAAATAATGATATAAAATGACTGCTAAAATCTGAATTTCTTAGCATTGTATACATGACCCTTCTAATATTCTACATTTACTCAGTGCTGTAGAACATTTTATCTTAGGAACTTATCTTGAAGAATTTATCAGAAAGATAACAGTGATTTAAGTACTTGCTCTTCTATCACAGCATTATTTATAATATTAAAAATTATAAACCTGAATAATCAATAGGAGGAGACAATTCAGTAGGAAACATTTGTGATAGAATATGCTATAGCCTTTAAAAACCACATTTTTGAAGATTATTTAATAACATAAGAAAATAATATATTGTTTTTTAAAGCTTGTAGAGACAACTGCCTTGCATACTTGGAGTAGAATGTTCACATCCTTAAGACTCAGCCATTTTTCAAAATAAAACTGCTGGACCCTGTTAGTATATACAGAATGTTCTGAAGTGTAATGCCAAAGATAACATTTCCAGAAAGATGAATTTTACAATATTTATGATGAGGACAGGGAAATTGGAGTTGGATTAAGCATTGTAAGCAAGTATGGAAGTTAATTCTTTAAATTAGTAATTCCCAGTGAGGGTTGAAAATATCACGAGTGTCAAGGGAGCTTTATGCTTGGAGATCTGAAAAGACTTCATAGAGAACTAATGTTTGAGCTAACACTTAAGGGAAGAATAAGTATTTCTTAAGGAATGAAAGAGTTCATGTTCTAGGCAGAAGGAATTGCATATCTACTGCATAAACACATATGAGAAACACTGGTTTTTTTTTTTTCAGAGTCTTAAAGGGATATGTGATCAAAAGAGGTAGGACCTGATGTGTTGAGTTGGACACAAAGTGCTGTAACTGAGGCCGCAGCACAGAAGTCAAAAAGGGCAAATGCATGTGAAAGATTTAATGATAGCGATGGTGGTGGCAATGATAACCAACGTTTATTGAGAGCCAAATATTGTTCTAAGTACTTTACATTTAGGAAATCGTCCTGATAAAACCATAGTGACTGATAAGTTCTGACTATGGAAATGGGGTTAAGAGAAGAAGAAGAGCCATAGTTGAATCTAAGATTTTCTAATTTGACTAGATTAATTTGTTTTACCTCCTTCTACCCCAAGTTAAAGAATACAAGATGAGAGAGCAGATTTATGGTGGGGGAGATAATATAAGTTTGGCTTGAGTTATAAAATGATTAAATAGCTTCACATGCTTTTTTAAAAAAAAGGTACTGATAGAGCTGAAGCTAGTTTCTTATTTCATCTCCTTTCTTTCATCTCCAGAAGTAACTGCTGTCCTGAAGTTATGTGTGTTGTTCCTGTTTCATACTTTGACCATATATTTATATATCCATAAACAATGAAAAGCATTATTTGGTGTGTTTTTTATATTCATGTGTATGTCTTTGTATGTACATATTTTATTTAGTAATTTGCCTTTTTTTATTAAATATTATGTTCTCAGGATTTAGCCATGTTGTCATATGTAAATCCATTATTTTCCCTCTATGTGAATATACCACAATGTTTTTATCTATGTTTGTAGATTCACCTATTGATAGATTTTTAGGCTGTTGTCAATTTTTCTCTATAAAGTACAATGCGATAGTAAACCTCTTGGTATATATCTCTTTGTGCACACGTGTAATTTTCTTTGGGTCTTAGGGATGTATATCTTCCAACCTTACTAGACATTACCAACTTGCTCTCTAAAGTAGCAGTTTCAGGATTCTCATCCCCCTCCATTCACTACTTACGAGTTTTTAATCTCTGTCAGTCTGAGAGGTATTAATCAGATTGTTCTTGTTAGTATTTACTTGATTACTAGTGAAGTTGAAATCTTTTGTATATTTCTTGACATTTCAGGTCAGTCTTACCATGTCCTTTGCACATCTTTTCTTTGGATTTTCTTTTTCTCATTGGTTTATAGGAGTTATTCATATATCCTGTATAATAATTCTCTGTTTATATGTGTTATACTACCTTCTCCCAGTGTGTGGCTAGTTTTAAAAAATGACTTATTTTTTCTTGTGTGGTATGCATGTTTTTAATTTTAATTGATCTTTTGTATTATTTGTGTTTTTCTGTGTTTTACATATTCAAGAAATCCCCCTGTACTCTGAGGTCACAAAAATGGTATCTTGTATATTTTTCTCAAAATTTTAAAGTTTTTCCTTTTATGTGTTTTTTTGTTTGTTTGTTTGAGACGGAGTTTCGCTGTGTCGCCAGGCTGGAGTGCAGTGACGCAATCTCAGCTCACTGCAGCTTCCGACTACCTGGTTCAAGCTATTCTCCTGCCTCAGCCTCCGAAGCAGCTGGGACTATAGGCATGCGCCACCACACCCAGCTAATTTTTGTATTTTTAGTAGAGACGGGGTTTCACCATGTTGGCCAGGATGGTCTCAATCTCCTGACCTCGTGGTCCGCCCACCTCGGCCTCCCAAAGTGCTGGGATTACAGGCATGAGCCACCGCGCCTGGCCCATTTTACATGTTTTACACAGATATTTAATTTATCTGGAATTAATTATTATGAGTGGTAGAAATAGGAATCTAAGTTTTATTTTCTCCATAAGGATAACTATTGAATCTAGGCACACCATTTATGGAATTGTACATTTTTCCCCACTGATAAGTGATGCTGCCTTTGAAATATGTCAAGTTCTGACATATTTATGAGTCAGTTCCTTGGTGTTCTGTTCTATTGGCCTATTTCTCTGTTCCTAATAAAAAGTTTTAAAAAGTCAGGGTAAAAATATTCATGTACTAGTATGTCAGAGGATAACTGAGGAAAGAATATAAAAATAAGTGGAAACCTTATGGCATTCTATAAACTGTTTTTGGCTATGTTATTACATGAAGGGACTTTATTATCTTCATTATGACACGTAGTATAGCCCTCAGTTCTCTTATTAGATTTGAGGACGAAGGGTACATGCTGATAACAGTAACCGGTAGAATGTAATTTATCAGAAAAGTTATTGGGATTTATTCCCTTTAGAAAAAAAAAAACCCTTCATTATTATTATTTTTTTTTTGAGATGGAATTTCACTCTTGTTGCCCAGGCTGGAGTGCAATGGCGTGATCTCGGCTCACCTCAACCTCCGCCTCCCAGGTTCAAGCGATTCTCCTGCCTCAGCCTCCCAAGTAGCTGGGATTACTGGCAGGAGCCACCATGCCTGGATAGTTTTGTATTTTTAGTACAGACTGGGTTTCTGCATGTTGGTCAGGCTGGTCTGAAACTCCCTACCTCAGGTGATCTGCCCACCTTGGCCTCCCAAAGTGCTGGGATTACAGGCATGAGCCACCATGCCTGGCCCACCCTTCACTAATTTTTATTCTTTTATTTTTATTTTTTTTTTGAGATGGAATCTCACTCCGTCACCTAGGCTGGAGTGCAGTGGCATGATCTTGGCTCACTGCAACCTCCACCTCCGGGGTTCAAGTGATTCTCCTGCCTCAGCCTCCCAACTAGCTGGGACTACAGGCGCATGCCACCATGCCTGGCTAATTTTTGTAATTTTAGTAGAGACAGGTTTTTGCCACGTTGGCCAGGCTGGTCTTGAACTCCTGACGTCAAGTGATCCACTCACCTCAGCCTCCCAGAATGCTGGGATTACAGACATGAGCCACCCTACCCGGCCTAATTTTTTTCCTTACTTTCAAAGTTAGCTATGCACTATAAGGGTATGCTGAAATTTTTTTATTGTAACAGCGGTTGACTTAAACTTTTTTTCTCCAGCTACAAAGCCCAAGGTGTTATAGATGACCTTGTCTATAGTATAATAGACCATATACGCCCAGGGCCTTGTCGTTTGGATTGGGACAGCTTGATGACTTCTTTGGATATTCTGGAGAACTTTGAAGAGGTATCTATTTAGAAACATTACTTTAGACTGTGTGTATGTGCATGAGGGAGGGCATGAGTGAGCCAGAGCATGTGAGCATGAGCATTTGTACACACTTATATTCATTGCTTTGAGAATAGCAGTCACGACAAAGATATCACAGGGGAGTCCCATGCTGCCTCTTAAAAAGTTTGTGTTTCCTCATACTAATTAATGAGTGTTAGACTGAGTTTCTTTTCCACAGTACCTATACCCTTGCTGCTTAAAACTATATTCAGCATCCTTCATTGTAAAACTTTAGTTAAGATTCTGAAATCTAAAATTCTGAAAACACCACCATCATATTTAGGTTTCTAGGTGAATGTGTGCAGCTTTTCCATTAATACTAAGCCAACATCAATGACCAAAGATAAAAATGCCACCTTAGATATTCTAAAATTATATAGCCAAAATGACCTGCCCTGTTTCTATTTTTATTAATTCATTGCTTAATGTTTGAATTTTTTACTTAAAATGTTTGATGTTGCAGTCAAAGTATTTGTGGATTTGATCTTAAACACTGAAACAGTCTACATCCCTAATTCCATTTGGAATGTTATGTAGAATAAGACAACTGCATTTAATTAGATATTTGGATACTGGATAACTTGTACCTCTGTATTTTGATTATATATCTTCTTCATGGCCATCCAATAGCAGTGAGATTTAGAATAGAGATCTAGACCTGTCAGAATCAGTGTAAGAATTATTATAATTATGAAACATTTTAAATAAATATTAGTTTCTTTCCAGAGATAAGTTTATGATATATGAAGCTATGTATGTTTCCTATAGTAGTAACACTTGTCTTATCTCTTCTTTTTCAGAATTGCTGTGTGATGCGTTACACTACTGCTGGTCAGCTTTGGAATATAATTTCCCCAAGAGAATTTGTTGATTTCTCCTATACTGTGGGCTATAAAGAAGGGCTTTTATCTTGTGGTAATAATCTCAACATGTTATGCTTTTTTTCAGTATGGTTTAAATATTTGTGTTTTCTTGGCTGGATGTCTCTTTCCTTGTGAGATATATTTTCAACTCTGACTCTGTAATCACTAACATTTTTTGCAAGTGCTAAACTCTAGGGAGTAAAATAGCAATATCAAAAGAGTTTTGAAACCCTTCTGATAAGTTTTTGTTCCCAGTTACACAGTATCCTCTAGGTCAGAGGTAGCAAATGTGGATCACATGACTGCCTCTAAGAAAGGGTTCTAGTAAATGGATTTTCTTCTAAGCCACTCTCAGAAAACAGTTTCTTGGTCATACACAGAGAAGTACTAGATTTGGTGTGTCTTAGAATATTCTTCCTTCCTTGAGCTGTGTTGTATTTTTCTTTTCAAGATTAAAAATACTGCCATTGGAAGGCTCCTGTTTTCTAAAACGTACCTATAGGTAAATTAATATTATTTTGTATATAGTGTATACTTAAGTTAGCAGTTGTAAGTAAACATCTACTTGTTTATTCTTAACTAGCCAGTACCAAACTATAATATGGTAGTCGCTGTGGGGAATAGTTACGGTACCATGGATTTGATTTTTGGCACCTCAAGGCCTGGATACTACAACCAAGATTTGTAGCTTCCAAGGAGTACTAAGATGATATGATGTCATGTATTCTGAAAGGATTAAAAGTTTCCCCATTACCTATCTGCCAACCTCTTGTCAGAATTCTCCTTGGTAAGTCTCTTTTTCACTCTGCCATGGTCACTTTGGGATTTAATTTTCATCTATATGGATAATAATAAATATTTAAATAAGAATTCTGGTAATATTTTAAAATGAGAGTTTTATGTCAGTTATTGCTATTAATAGTGCTATTTTAAAAATTGCCTTATAGGAATAAGTCTTGACTGGGATGAAAAGAGACCAGAATTTGTTCGAGGATATAACCATCCCTGTGGTTGGTTTTGTGTTCCACTTAAAGACAACCCAAACCAGAGTCTTTTGACAGGATATATTCAGACAGATCTGCGTGGGATGATTCCTCAGTCTGCGGTAGATACAGCCATGGCAAGCACTTTAACCAACTTCTATGGTGATTTACGAAAAGCTTTATGAGAGGCAAAATACATTCAAACTTGTAGTACTACAGATCAACTCTCTCAGCTACATGGCCTGTAAAAATCATTGATTCCACTTTTCTGCATAGCCGGTAGAAAAATTTGAAATGTTTTTGGTTCACTAGTACAATGTTTGGTTTTATTCCTAAAGTAAATAGCTATCTAAGAGAGGGCATTTTCACTTTTTTTTTTTTAAATTTTGAGACAGGCTCTCACTCTGTTGCCCATGCTGGAGGGCAGTGGTATGATCACAGCTCACTGCAGCTTTGATCTGACCGCTCAAGGGGTTATTCTACCTCAGCCTCCTGAATAGCTGGGAATACAGGTGCACGCCACTATGCATGGCTAATTTTTGTTTAATTTTTTGTAGAGATGTGGTCACACTGTGTTGCCCAGGCTGGTCTTGAACTCCTGGCCTCAAGTCATTCCCCACCTTAGCCTCCCAAAGTGTTGGGATTATAAGCGTGAGCCACCATGCCTGGCCCCAATTTAAAATGTGGAATTCAGTTGGTGTCCAAGACTTATCTTGAGACTCTTAAAAGCATCAGTCTGTAACTAGAACAAATACAGTCTTAGATTTACCCAAGTGCCTAGATATCATTTTATAATGATTAGAATTGAGTATTGTGGGTCCCCTAATTCTGTGGGTGCCTTAAGTGAGAATTTCTAAATGATTTTCACATTCTAAATGACTTTGGGTTTTGAACTCTCCATCTAGTTTACTTCTAAAATGGGAACTTGAGGCAATTCAGGTATCCAGGCAAATCTTTGTATATATTTTTTTGTGTACATGCACACATCTCGAAATCCATTTCCGTGTTTAATGTTAGTTGTTTATGTGTTAGTATTCCTGTGTCTACTGTTTTGTTGTTGTTAATATGGGTAAAGTGAGCCCTGAAATACATGCTAAACAAGACATGAAATGCAGAAAGGTACATAGTGTTTCAAGTGCATGGTAGTTTGATCTGTGTTTTACTTTATTGTGTTTTCTTGAGTGTAAAGAAAGAATAAATCAAAGTTCTTCATACCCATTTTGACAAAGTGGAACAGTGGAGCTGTTTTTTGCTTTTGTTTTTATTTATTTTTTGCCACTGGTGATGATAGATTTCAAAAAACAAAAGGTGGCAGCAGCACAATGTTCATGGTGAATTATCTCATAGTATCTAGATTGATCAAGATCTGACAGAAGGAATGCACAAAGGATTCTATATTCTTAATGATTTATTAATTACCAGGATCCTTTTCTAAATTGAATGTACTTTTGAATTACTAGGTTTCTTCTTTTTTTTTGTTCTGCAATAGTGAAAGAAAACTCAGTAGTTTAGTTTCAGTTTCTCATGGAAATTGGTAAATGTTAGTTTTGACTTCATCTATTTTTTATTTGTTTTTATTAGCGTAGAGTAGGAAGTCTCATATTCTACTGTTCTATCTAGGATGGTGAAATTCCAAAGGTGCCTAACTTGAGTAAGGGATTTGTGACAAGATAGTACACATTACTATAAGGGCTATTATTTCCTGAACTGGATGTCCCTAAAAGCAAATAAACTGCCCACTATCTCTACTCTAGTGCTCTCTTTGTCCTTATCAACATATACCTCCAATAAGTAATTACATAATTCACCGTTAAACATGGACCCACTCTAGGTAAAATTACCCTCATGGAAACATTTTCACTGTGAGAATGATGAATTTAAAAATTATGTTTGAATCACCTAAAATGTATGTGCAGCTTCTAGATGGCCCCTTAGATCTGCTGGGCTCTAGCTGTGTACTTTAAAAAAACAAAAACAGCTTTATTGATATATAATTTACATATTATGTAATTTACCCACTTTTAAGTATCTAATTCAGTGATGTTTTAATACATATGTAGAACTATGCAGCCATCAGCACAATCTGGATTTAGAACGTTTCCATCATTCCAAAAGATTCCTTTTGTCTTTTTTGCAGACTCATACCTAACACAAATCTAAAGTTTATCACTGTTGCCAGGATAATTACAGCAGGTTATGTTTGGTTTCATTTTTAAGAGTGGAGGTGTTCATGATTCTAAGCTCAGGAATCTTGTGATCATGTATTAAATATGTTATCTCATACTATAATGATAAAAAAGCTTAATGATGTGGGTTGGGATGGATATTAACATAAATAATTGAGTCCGCTGCTTCTATAGCAATGCTGTAGGATAGAACAATAATGTAAGTGATATATGTAATTAAAAAATTCTAGAAGCCACATTAAAAAATAAAAATAAACAGCTGAAGTTAATTTTAATATTTTATTTAACTCAATACATCCAAAATGTTATCATTTTAACATGTAATTGATGTAAAGATTTATTCTGATAGTTTGTACTATTTCTTGTACTAATTTTTTGAAATCTGGTATGCATTTTACAAATTTGGGCAAGCCACATTTTAAGTGCTCATTAGCCACATGAGGCCAGTGGATACTGTATTGAATAGCACAGTCCTATAGCATATTTATTAATTTGTCTTGTAGTAAGATGAAATAGACAATAATACGGAATAATATCTTAAATGGAAATCTTTGTTAGTCTCTAGAGCCTTCATTGCTTGATAAATAGGACATCTAAACTTTAGATATAAATCAGTTGTCAATGAGATAAAATTATTGCCAGCAAATATTTTCCTTCAAAGATAAGTAACTTTTGATATGGCAGTTGGTGAAATGAAAGAATATAATCTGCCTTCTTGTTAAATGGTTGACTATTCTGTAGCTTGTAGGTAGTACGTATTAGAAACTTGTGTATGTGGGAAATATTTGGCATAATACTGTTTTCAGTATATAGTAGCTATTTTTTAAGGAAATTAGTTTCATACAAGAAAAAGATTATTATAAAAGTGATACTTTTGCATGAAATATTAGTTTGTGTTGATAACTCTTAGTTAACCCTTAAAGTTTAAAACAGTACTCAAAAAAAAATAATGAGAATCTAGTATTCTGTAGTTAACTAATCTATAAGATAAATTGCTAAAGTACTAGGGAGCTTGTAAATCTTAAAAATCTTTTTATTTCAGTGTTCATTCAGGTTGGATATATTTGAAATTGTAGATTTCTATCTGTACAACATCTCCTAGTTAATAGAATTTTTTTCCTTCCCCTCCCTTCTCTCTCCTCCTCCTTTTCTAACCAAAGGGCATTTTATCAACAATCATGCTGAATTCAATTAATATCTCAAGCTAAAAAACTATGTAATTGAGGTTGTATCTGGAGAAGATGGGAAAACATTGTATAATTTAAGCCCTTAATTGTCTGTTGAGCTTTTAGGGCTGAGTAATTGCCTTTCATACAAATAAAAGCTTTAACTCTTTTCTCAAGAGTGTACCACCGTCCTTAGAATCAGGTGTTTTAAATCCAGTTTCTTTTAATTAAATGGGACTGTAGTGATCCCTACCCTGTAGAGAAATCAACAGAACTAGAGAAGCTAAGGGCTTGATCAGGTTTCCCCTAGAACCTGTGTTGCCTGCCTGCTGTATCTTCCATGTCTTTCTTATTCAACTTCTAGAAGTAGAGAAGGTTGGGACTTGAGTGTAGAAGAAACATCAGAATAATTTCAAAAAACAGGAAGTTGGAACTATAATTTTTAAATTATTGTATTGTTTTTACGGATTTTACATGTATAGTTAAATATTAAAATTCATCTCTTGCAGTTCAATAAAAGCTATAGTATAGATTTTATTTTTAAGAAGTTTATATAATTCTTTTGTGAACCAATATGTAAAACTAGAATATTTATTAAACTAATAATATGTATTAGTATCAATAAAATATGTATTTATTTTTAAATTGGTATGAAACAAAATAAAAATTTGTAGACACTCTTAAAATTGGTCATTGATATTATCTTTGTAATTTAACATTAAGTACTATTTAGTTTCATATGCCTGAATTTAAAGTATGTAATTTAACTTCCTGAATTCTTACAAAAGGAAAATATAAACCTGGAAAGTCAAATTAACAACACACATGCTGATCTCTCCTGCCAGTGTCTCATATAATATTAGCTGTTATACAATACTGCTGAAACTTTATTTGCTATTATATATTCAGAACAAATAATATATTGTGCCTTTGTAAATTATGGACAGGATTTATTGTACACATGTTGAAATAATTGTGTTACCTTGATTAGGAATTATGATATTTTGTTTGGAATTGAAAAAAACTAAAAGTGATTACAAGGACACCCACGATCTATGTTATAAGAAGGCAGTTAGGGATGCTGTGGTAAGTATGTAATAGAAAATATGACTGTGAAGCAGGGAGTTACTTTCCTCATTTAATAAAACATCTGGTACTATGGTTTGAATATTTGTGTTCCCCTAAAACGCAGATGTTAAAATCCTAACCTCTAAGATAATGGTTTTAAAAGCTTTGAGAGTTGATTAGGTAACCCTAATGAATGTGATTAGTACCTTTATAGAAGAGGCCCAAGTGAGATGCTTTGGTCCTTCTGCCATATGAGGACACAGCAAGAAGGCATCCTCTGTGAGGAAGCAGGCACTCATAGATACCAAACCTGCAGGACTGTTCTTGGACTTGTGCCAGAAATGTCAGAAATAAATTGTGATAAGCCACCCAGTTTATGGTATTTTATTATAGCAGCCTGAATGGTAGTGAGAGCACTGGACTAGGAGCTGGGCAACCCTGGTCTATTCCTTCTTCAGCCACTGTGACCTTAGGTAAGCCATTACCTCTCTTGGGCATAATAGCTCTCTTTAATAAAGTGAGCTTATTGGATTAAATGATTACTAATATCCTCTTTTAACTCTAGTGATTTTATAATTTTACTCAACAGAAAATATGTGAGCACTCAGTGTTAAAAAAAAGGCTATGAAACTCAAAGTATAATTTTATCTGAGAGAATGGGAAAACACTCAAGGAGTGATTCAACTGCACATTTCAGGTGTAAGAAAAATGTCCATGGTGTCTCTCTTGAATTGTGGTAACATTTGAAATCACAGAATGCAAAGTTTTGGTGGTTTCTTAAATGATTTATTATCGTATTCTACATGCCAACTGCTTTACATTTCCCAGCAGCAAGATATAGGCTTCTTTGGGCATGTTCTGACATGTCTGTCTGAGTGAACTTACACCAAGTAACATTGGCCCTCAGGTCAAATTTCTACAATTAGTCTTCCAACACCCATTTTTTATAATGTCACGTACTCTTCAAGTTCCTAGAAAACACCCCCCAACCCCCCCCAAAATTTACATATTTAATTACTGAATTGGGTTATCCAACCTGAATCCAAGAAGAAGCCACAGCTCTCATGTGGTCTGCCTCAGGCTTTGGGCAGCTGAGACAGCCCATGACTGTTGTGTCCCATCTGTAAGAAGTAGAAACTCACTGGTCAGTCACCACCATTGAAGAATACTGTAGCTCTACAACAGCAAATGGGCATGATTTTGATGAATTCTCTACAAACATTTTCTGTATGTACATTTATGCCCAGGCCAGACTTAATACATTTACCTAAAAATATTGTAATATATCTTTGTATTAAGTAGTCAATAGCACCATATTGTCAGGTTTTAAAAATGAAGTGTTCACAGCTCCATTTTCAGTGCTCTTCAAATTAGAAGTTGGGAAGGTAGCCTATAATCTTGGTTGTGTAAACTTAAAATATTTATACTTTGTCCTCCAAATCTTACATGCTCTTGTGTTTGGCTACTGACTTGCAGCCTAAACTATTGGAGATGTAGCTTTCCTGTATGCAGTGCTGTTCCATTAATCTAATCCTCTATGCTGCTATTGAGCTGCTTATATCCTTTTAGTCCAGAAAGCTTTCAGCAACCCAGGAATAAAAATTTCTCCTTTAGGAAAGACTAGAAAACACATCCAGATAATGTCACATAAGCCTGAAAAGCCCAAGTAGGAAGTTTTCCTTTCTCAATGTCTGCTAACTTACGATTTTTGTAACCTCACAGTAATTCTACTTCTCTTCCATCATTCAAATGACAGTCAATCTTGCTCCCTATCTTCCTTCATTTGTCTTCAGGAATAATGCCGCCATTCACTAATCACAGGCATTATCTGAAATAAAGAGGCAAGACAACTAAAAGTACACATACTAAATGTCTAAATGTCTCCCAAGTTTCTTGAAGATGGATGTAAAAATACTGCCTGCAATAAATGATATCAAAAGGAACTTACAAAACAGTATGTAAAGGGACAAAAGGGAGAGATGAAAAAGGACTTGACAGGAGCAGGTTGATGTTTGGAGAAACAAGTTCTGATGGTTTTAAATTTTGTTGCCTGAGACTTAGCTTCCTACAGGTTGTCTTTTAAAATCTAAACTTTCAGGTAGAATTCAATCAGAAATCCTGGGGGATTGCCTATTCAGGTCAAATAACTGAAAAGGTTGAAAAAATGAGGTCAGCAATAACCTTGATTCGGTCCTCCACTGGCAACATTTTAGGAAGTACGTGATTTTTTGGAGTCATGAGACATTTTTCAGAAATTGGAGTCTTGGAAAACTTGAAATTATCTGTCATACTATCATTTACTCTGTTTTGTCAGTGGAGACCTGGCCAATTCAGTTTTTGCTTTCAGTGACTGAGGCTTTGCTTTAACCTGGTGACTCCCAAAAATATCTTCGATGTGTTTGATGATTTTTATTTGGCTTAGAAGCACAGCAGATGAGCCAAGTATGTCAGGCTAGATGCTCTGAGGAAAGGCTGCACATGGACCTACCCAGAGTAAGGAAGGAGTAAGGAAGTCTAATTCAATTTTGCACGAGATGAGATTCTGTTGCACACTGGCAACACTTCCCTGTGTATTTCAGCCTTTCACATTTAGTATTCTTCCTTCACCTCTGCCTTTCATTTTTCCACTCTATGATCAGGCCGGTTCTCAGCCAGACATGCCCCCTACTTCTTCCCTACCTGCAAAGATTCACCCATCTTTCACATACAGCCTGTGTTTCCATAAAGCTTTCCTTCATCATTCCTGGCAAAAGGGAGCTTTTCCCTCTTTCCATTCCTAGGGCTTATCATCTGCCTAAATGCAGCATAGGTTATATATGTACAGGTTGTATCTATAAGGTTGGCTTTTCTCTCCAACTACAAAGCTCACTCCTGGAGGATAGCATTGGATTTAATTCATCTTTGACTCCTCCATGGCATATAATAGTTTCTCAGTGAAAGTTCACAGGGAAAATTGTTCCTGGAGGGGGCTGCTCCTGGGAAGCTTCAAAATTAGAAAATCACTTCCTTACAATGTGATTAGAATGTAGGCCTAATATCCCCTAAACTATGTTGTTTAGTTTCTGGGAGAAACATTAGCTATTGACTTCATTCATTTCTAAAGTATTTGTCCATCAATGATCGTCTTCAAACTGAGCAATCAAGAAGATGGGCAGGGGAGAATGTGGAATCCTAATCTACATTTTGTTATCTTTCCCCTCACTCATTCCAGTAAAGTCTCTGCTACACATAATGATGCGGACTGGCAGAAGATTGATATCTTTTGTTCTGAGTTCTACAGCGAGTGTATCCTAGTGGCTATATTATATTATTGATTGCTGTAATAATAGAGCAATAATATTGCTGTATATTATTTAGAGTTATAATTTTAGGTACTCCTAATAAATTGATATTGCACTTTCTACTAAATATTTCATTTGTGACCTTTTGGTTACAGATGTTGAAAGTCAAACGGAAACACAAAGGTCATGAATGCCTATGTTTTTCTCCATATCTCGGTCACTAGCTTCCCTTAAGGTGGATATTTTGGAATGAACAATTTCTCTGTGACAGAAATAGACTAAGACAAGGGCCCTTCTTGGATTTCTAAATATGTAAGGAAAGCAAACGAAAGCATTTACTCAAGGCCCTCTCTTTTCAAAGAAATAAAATACGTAACACTCAGGAAAGCGTGGGGATTAGAAAATGGCTTTCTTACATAAAAGAGCTGGCTGTTTGCGTATTCCCTGAGCTATTGTTGAGAAAGTCATTGTCATATAATGCCACAAAATAAAACATAATATTTCCTAAAATGATTAATGAAAATTCAATTGATATAAATTACTTCAGAATATTATGAGAGATTCAGAACCATAGGGATCTTCTTATTTCTTAGCTTAGTAAGTAACAGCTGTAGATTGACTTAAATGTGAGCAAATGCCAGTGAAAGATGTCATTTACATAATTTTAAATGTAAGGATCAAATTTCTAAAACATGCTCAAAGTGCTAGAAATCTTTTTAATTCTACTCTCAACCAACTCAATTCATACTCTAAATTTCTTTTCTTCAGGAGTGATGCAATTTTGCGTTTTTAGTTCTGTAGGAAAATTTCACTAAGTTGTATCTATCTCCAGCACAATTATTGTTGTGAGAGCATCTGCAACATAAAACAAAATTTTCCTAACTTTCTCAGAAGCAAATGGGAATACGAACCTTAAGCTAAGGAGAAAAAAAAAAAAACAAACTGGAATATAGGAATCTGTATTCCTGCAAGTCACCAAAAAGGCATTGGGGTGCCATGAAAACCCAGGGTCATTGTTTTACTGTAAGGGTCCAGATACACATTTTAGGCTTTGCAGTCCATATGGTCTCTGTTGAAAGTACTCAACTCTGCCTTGACAACATAAAAGCAGCCACAAACAATATGTACATAAATGAGCATGCCTGTGTTCCAATAAAAATGGGGCTTTGGTAGATTTGCTCTGTGAATCATTGGTTGCTTGAGTTCTGAAAAATTTTTGGAGATTTGAGTTCAGTTCTTGGGGAATTATGTGGAAATTACTCTTTAAAAAAATATGCACATAAGTTTTAATGTGTGTATCTCAAAGACGAGAGATAAAATGAATGACTGACATTCAAGTAAGAGCATAAATAACTAATTTGTTTACTAATAATCTTTTACTGATACCTTTAGTTCATTGGGCATAAGAAATCACCTAAACCCCAACTCAGCTGTACCCACTCACTAAACTCACAAGACATTGAAAAATGTTGAAAGAAACACAGCAACATCTGTTGGACATGGAATGGACTACTATTACTATGTTTAGGCCTAACTCCTTAATAAATGGATATGTTACAACGTTCTTTTGGCTTATAGAGGACTTTTAAAATATTACTGAGACTTAAGGGTGCCGTAAAAAGAAAAACAAAATTACAAATTATGAATATGCTATTTGTTCTCTACGCTGCTGCATATTAACTGTATTGTAGGTATATAAAATAGGTCAGGTTAAAAGGAGGCAGTATGAGATGATAGTTTTCAATTTATGGTCATATATATATATTTTTTTTTGACGGAGTTTCGCTCTTGTTGTCCAGGCTGGAGTGCAGTGGCATGATCTTGGCTCACTGCAACCTCTGCCTCCCGGGTTCAAGAGATTCTCCTGCCTCAGCCTCCTGAGTAGCTGAGATTACAGGAGCGTGCCACCATGCCCAGCTAATTTTTGTATTAGGGGTTTCACCACGTTGGCCAGGCTGGTCTCAAACTCCTGACCTCAGGTGATCTGCCAACCTCGGCCTCCCAAAGTGTTGGGATTACAGGCATGAACTATCACGCCCAGCCTATAGTTATGCTTAACTGTACCTTTACAAAACAGATGAACTGCTCTACATCTATCAAGGAAAGGACAAACCTAGTAACTTTTTATCATTCACAAACTGTCAAAGTTGAGAGAGAGCTCAGGGAAAACAACCGCTTTCAAAAATTAGAATGCAAGGTCTTGTATTTAAGTAGCCTGAAATAATCTTTTAAATGGAAAATAAAGATTAATCAGAGTGAAAATTAAATGTTATTTTGACACAATGAATCACAAGCAACGATTAAATGTATATATTCTGTATCTATATGTTTTCCAGGTCAATCTTCAAAATGAGCTGAAAACAACTGTTTAGAATAGTGTGATTTTGCAGTCTTTGCATTGCTGTTTAGAGTATCAAACAAAATTCTGGGCCACAGATACGCTGCATTTCTCCAGTCTGGGATGCTCCTGTCAGGGCTTTAGAGATGACCATAGGGATGGAACAAAACACTGATCTGGGATAAGGCATAGCAAACCAAGACAAGAAAAGAGTAACCCACTGGTGGAATCTCATTTTTCCATTACTGACCAATGACAATATACCAATATTCAAATTGTATCACTTTCAATCAGAGGATGAGAAGAGGTTTTCTCCCACTTGCCTCATTTGAGCTCAACCAGGTAGATGCCTGGAGTCTTCTCTAGAGCAACATCTGATTCCTTTGAAGGAGTAAGACAGTTCACTTTCTCGGCAAGGCTTCTATTTTGCCCTGGTGGACCTCTGAACCAGACAACAGGGAACAGACTGAGTTCTTGAAGGAAGTTAGTATCACACAACCCAATCGTCTTGAGTACATCACAGAGCATTTATGAAAGTTGGAATTTTAAATAACCAAACAAATTAATCAAGTTTGTTATTGCTCTCCAAGATAAGTATAGACATGGCCAAGCTTTATGAGCTGAGATTATATTATCTGATCTCAGGTAATAGCCACAAGGAGTAATAATGACAAAATTTGCTCTTAATATATTGGTCAAAATATAGAAAGAGGAAATACTGAACTTGGTTACTGTGGGTGGTTTGCTGATATCTCTCCAGTGGTCTCTCTCCTTTTTTTTCTTATTTGCCAAGGAGACAAAAATTCACCCTGAGTGTGTCAGGGGAATAAAAGGACTTTGAAAAATTTTATAGGAAATTATTGGGTACATTTCTGTTTATCATGTGGTTATGAATATTGTAATACCAATAGTGAAATAACATGTACACAATTTTTTTAAATGCAGACACACATAACATCTAACCATTAAACAATGTTCAACCAGTAAATGCTCAACTACTAGCAATGACCCTGATCAGGAACATATCAGTGATGAACATAAGGAAATCAGAATATGGACTAATAGGCAGGAATTACAAGGAAATTACAAATCCTTTTACATAGGTTACTATCTGGAAATTTTGCACCATCTAAAGTAAATCTAGACAACATGACTGAATACTTTGCAATGACAAATAAGTGACATAATGGCACTATGATTAATTGACTCTGCTATGTATATTTGTTAATTATACATTGAGTCAACCATCAAGAAAATGCTAGTGCTGATTCACTTTGTTGACCTTTTTTTAAAAAAATTTGCTTTGCAAAAACAATTCTAAAACAAAATAAATGGCTTACTAAGTTTATCCTTTGCCTTTTCTGGCATTTACTTTTCTTTTTCCAACTTGAAATACAACCAGCTGCTTCTGTGCAATAAAAACTGATTTATGAAACAAAATGGCTCTCTCCAAATCTTCAGCCTGTAGGCAACCCACCATCAGTTACCATGCATGTGAAACAGGACATAGGGATTGCTAAACATTCTGAATTACAAAATATGTTTAAAATACTATGAAATTGAAGTCACAGTAAAAATTGTTCCTTTCTTTTTAAGTCTTCCACTAAAAATGACTATAGAACCTTGAGGATTATTCTAAAATCAGTATGTAAAAAATTTTCAAAAGTCTTTTGTTAAATCCATGTGTAATGGCAGTGTTGATTAAACCCTTCTAAGGAAATCTTAAAAAATGCCAGCTAATGGTCATATTCCCACTTTGAGGATAACTGGCATGATATCACCATCATTACACAATCTTCATCATGCAGATTTGGTATGGTTCATTAGATTTCCAGAAAGACATATTGCCTGTGATACAAGGATGGCATGAAGCTTAATCCAGGCCTCAAAATCAGATTCTATGTGCAGTTCTTCCTGAATGAAGACACATAGTTGGCTGAGAGTAGATTTTGGTAAGCAAGAATGCTATTGGCATCATGGCAGTACTCAGGAGACTCTAGGCTGTAGTCAAGACTCCAGGGCCCATCAGGAATCAGAGGGATTGGTCAGTAGATAATTTAGTAATGCCCGTTCTTTGAAGTCATGTTAGGAATCATTTCTCCTCTGAAGTAAATGAATGGGCAGGAGTGGTCAATAAGCTTTTACTCAGTGTGTAACATTTCTGAAACACTTTCTTTGTGGCCTCCCACCAGCTCCTCAATGTGAAAACTGAGGCCACTTAAATCTAAGCATAGAACTTCAAGTGTCACTTTGCTTAAAATAAAAAGTACTCTAGACTAGTGCTGTCTAATATGGTAGCCACTAGCCACATGTGACTATTGAGCACTTGATGTCCCAAAGGCCTAACATACACTCTTGATTTTGAAAACAGTATAAAAATAAAGAATTCAAAATATCACATTAAATTTTAATATTGACTATATATCGATAGAATAATTTGGATGAATTGGATTAAAAATACTATACTTTCATCTATTTTTCTTAAAATGTGACTAATAGAAAATCTTAAATGACATGTGCTTGCATTATATTTATATAATGCACTTGTTCTGGACAATTAACTTCTACCACGATATTATTCTAATTTTTACCTATTTATGTGTCCTGGGACAAGTGAAATTACAGTTTGAGAAAAAATACTGGATTCCAATTAGACTTTGTTAATGGGGGAAATAATTCAAGACTGTCCTTCATGGTTATAAAAAAAAACCTAGTTTATGCTATGTAGCTGAACTTATCTCAAAATAAAAACCCATAATGTAATGTGATAAGTGTTAGCTCTAAAATGTAAAATGTAATTTATTGTTTGCTGAAATTTGAATTCTTTTGCTTTGTGACTATATTGCCAATTAGGAGTGATGTTATGAAGTATTTTGTGAAATTAAATCTCCATTTGTCTACTATTATTTAGCTAAGTAATCTTTGAGATAGACAATACATTCCATTTTAACAAGCAATATAAACATTGGCTGTTCTTTCAAAAATGTTAACATAATTATCCTAACTTAGGATGTATGTATATGAAATCTTTGAATAATTTGACTGAAATGACCAACATTTTTGAAAGTTTGATTTGTTTCCTACTGAAACAATGAAATTAGTCACTATATAGTCATTATCAGAATCTTATCTTTAACATGAGTCAAAATTTAAAACTCCCATTGATTTTTTTAAAAATGTAGTTTATGGGTTTAAAAAGATAGAGGGAATTATCAACTCGAGTACTCACATGGAGGAATGGTAATATGCACTCATTTAAATGAGTAAATTCTAAAATACACATTGGGCATGGTATTTGCAACGTTGTTTCTATAGTTCTCAGGGCCAAACAATGCAGTCCGCCCTACTCTAGTGTTGAAATAATGTAACAACTGCCCTTGGAACAATATGGGGGTGGGCAGGGAGGAATGATGTGTTCTGATCTTTCAGCTAAGCGCCAAGTGCCACTTTCTAAAAAGACCCCCTTCCCTCTCTTTGCTCTTCCAACACGTGTGTGTGTGTGTGTGTGTGTGTGTGTGTGTGTGTGTGTGTTTCAGTCTCATGGTAAAAAGTACAACAGGAAATTGATCCTCTTAAATGGAAATCTTAATGCTTAACAAAGAAGACATTCTTAAAGGTTAAAAATAGCGAGCCCCTTATAATGGACAACATGGGAATTCTGAGAGGGAATAATTAAATGAGGAAGGAAGGAAAGAGGGAATAAGAAAAGTGCTCTCTACTAGATAGTACAAATAAAACAAAACAAAAAATAATCTTCTGAGCCCAGATGATGTGCTTCTTCAGGGGCTCCATATCAGTGACCTGTCAGATTCTTAAACTATGAAAGATAAGAAGTCCTACCTTGTTTTCTTCCCATGAGAACAGTAGTAGAGAGAGATTTGTGATTGAAAAGAAGAATGTCTACTGAGGTCCAACAGCCTCTACAAACTGGAGCTTTAGTTTCGTTTTCTAATTTAATAGTTTTGAGGGAGAGCCAACATAATTTAAGATCTCTTTTTTAACAAGGATTTTTATGTGATAGTCATTTTTATTGTCTTTATTTGGTCTCTGAAAATAATTATTTTTTAAAATGAATTCTTTTTTAAAATTGAGAAAACCCACCAAAAATGTGACACATAATTAATCTGATAAAATATTCATTTCAACTCAAACTAGAAATAAATTGGAGATAGTGCAATTTCTATAAGGGGAAAGTGTTTCTATGAAAGTCAAAGAGAAATTAAACTTATTCTGGGAAAAATCATAATAAAATATCAGGTCTAATGTTCCAGCTTTTTAAGAGTCTGATTTGAAATCAGTATTTTTCTTTATTTTTGTTTTTGTTTGTTTTTTAAGGTAAATAAATTGCATTGTGCTAAATTTATTGGCAGCCACATTCTCAACACTACATTGTAAAATGTGGGTACTTTCATTCCAAATACGAGAAAAAGACATACTAGCTTTTCATAAATAACTTTAGTTTATAAGTGATATGTGTAGATAACCATCAATTGGATAAAAAAAGAGCTTTGATAAACAATAATGTTTTCTTACTCTATTAAAGTCAATAATGAATAATCTTAAAATGGAATATTATTCCTACTCTATGAAGACATTTTGGCACTAACCTGTGAAATAGAATTTTCTAAATATTTGCAACTTGGTAATTATAGAGTTTATCCATTAAAATGTTCTTATCTGTAAAGTTGTATAAATTCATGAGTAAATACAATTTTATCTGGAAAATGAAAAGGAATCAATCTTATCTTCATCAGTTTAAGTACAGTCTTACCTTCTTTTCTTCCCTGTTTATTACACCCTAAGCTTTGTCTATCAGAAAGTCATCTTATTGGAGAGCAGGTGAAGGAAAGAATGGAACTCAGCGTGAGTTTGTAAATTACTTCCTCCAGGGTTGTAAAATGGCAGAATCTTAGAACATTTTGGTTATTATTAATATAGTGTATATAAATAAGAATAAAATAAAGCATTCTCCACACAGGCTTTAGGGACATATGGCTTCATGGCCTTTAAGGATACTTCAATTTCTTACCATTGCAAGTGGATTTTTTTTTGCACATATGTACAACTATCATCTATAAGCATCTCCTTGTAAACAGTTTGAACACATCAATGATAAAAAGTAAAATGTTGTAAAAGTTATGGGAACATGTCTTTTAGCACTACCTAGTATTAGCTAAGCAGTAGTTCAAAGGAATTACTGCCTTGTGAAGAAATCCAAAGGATGTAGGATGGCTAGATTTTCAAAGCAAAAACAATTTGCTACTATTCACTTCAAATATGTGCCACTGGTTGCTGAAAATGTATGCTTTTAAGTGTTACGTTGTGTTAACTTGCAAGATTTAACTCATCGGTATTAGGTATCCATTACATGCCATAGAAGACACTATTATTTTCATAAAGCAGTCACATGCATTGAAGTTAGAATTACCAACTGGTATATATGTATGTTTTTTGCACCTCAAAAACAGAATCACTATAGTACATATCATGCTTCCACACCTTTCTTGCTGAAGGACAAAGTACATAAAATGCCGGTGTTTGGCTTCCAGATCTGAAGGAAGCTGTTTAGTACTCTGGCAGGATCACATCTTGCTGTGGAACTTCAAAACCCACAGCAGAGCTTCCTTGCCCTTCTCTGGGAGCTGCTGCCTCCTCCACAGTCTTCAGCTTCTCCTCTGCTAGGCCCTCCTCTAGTTCCAGGTCAGCCACCTTTATCCCATCCTCCACTGCCTTGGGCACCATTTTGGGGGCCTCTTCAGCATTTATATCTGCACCTTTAACTTTCTCTAAGGCTTGCACCTTCATCAGCTCAGCCTGTGCCCCCTTAACTGCGGCTTGGGCCCCATCGCCTTGAATTTTCTCTCCTTCTGGAATAGCTTTCATGTCCTCGTTGCCATCTTGGATTGGAGAAGGGTCTCGGCTAGCCTTGTGGCTCTCCTGGATGCTGCCATGGCTGCTGCTGGCACTTCCCAGGCGCGAAGAGGCCACCACAGCCTTCACCGCTGCCTGATTGGAAACAGAAGAGTGTCAAGTGTTACCTCTGCTTTAACACCCCACATCAGAGCTCAACCCCAGCTTTGCTTTTAGGGATTCCGTTTTATAGGTTAGCGTTAAAGTTTTCAAAGTACCTTATTCCTAGATTGTTTGCCAAAAGAAAATTTGGAGAATGAACAGTAAAACCTCTTTCATCTCAAATTAAATACAAATTAGTGTATTTAATCATCTGGACAACTGAAAGCCTGAATACATGTGTTTACCTGTGGCTAACCAATTTTTGAAAATTTTAATCTGTGTTTCCCGGTGTATTTGTTTTACGGAACACTAGTTCTGTGGACGTTAGTAGTTTTTACCACATGGATGTCATCATGGGGATATAAGAGTTCCGTGATCAAACTAGCTGGAGAAATCCTAGGTGAAGTCAATACTATTTAATTTGGGGTATTTATAATTAATTTGACCATGGAGCCTTTCAGATTTATTTAGTCTGTATCAGACCGTAAGCAATGGCTGCATAGGACCCTAATTCTGACCCCCAGCTGCTCTCTGAGATCCTCTACTTACATAGCTAGTCCTAAACACAGTTATGTAATAGAAAAGCTCCTAATCTCTATTCGATAGGTACTATATAAAATGATATATTTAGTTAAGTAATTTATTATATCACTTAAATTTTTAAATTTTTGTCAAGTAATTATTTATCTATATTAGGAAATATAGTTTCAAAAATTGTTTACCAAGTTTTACATATTCTGAAAGAAAACAACTTTCTGAATAAATATCAGTTTTCCCTGAACAATGCTGTTTAAGCAGTATACTTTAATTAGATGAGAAGCAGCAATAATATATTTGATATGTAAATATCAACTTATATAACAAATTTCCCTTTATTAATCATATATTCCTTATGAGAGTATAAGAAAACTTAAGTAGCTTTGTGTCAGCCTTATTGGAGTTTCAAAGCAGGATTTTCCCTGGTGCCTTAAGAAATAGATAATAGTATTAGATGAAGAACGGTAGAACTATTATTGATAGATCAAGATGAGATAAATTTTTTGAAAACAAAACAAAACAAAACAAAATATATGCTATCTTACCTTAAGCTTACGCCGGGCATTGAATTCTTGGAGCTTCTTTTGAGCGGTATCCATGTGTACAAAATTGGCTGCTTTACCTGTGACCCACGGATGCTGGAGAGCTTGAAATGTAGTCAGCCGTTTCTTTGGATCCAAAACAATTAATTTTCTGACCTGAAATAATAAAGAACCATAAACTTAGCGAGGTTTTTAGGATGACCTGGGCTTGCCCTCAGCTTACAAACTTCCAGATCTTATTCCATTTCCCAGCAGTACCACTAAATATATGTGAGAAAAAAATTGTTTAAGTCCTCAGGGGCCACTGTAGGTAGGCACAGCTTCAGGTAGCAGTAGCTGAGGGAGTATGAGAAGACAGGGCCATGTACCACCTGAGACCCCCAAAGTGGCAGACGGCTTTCCAACAGAAGTCAAGAAACAGCTCCTCACTTGCCTGTGGACTGGAAGTTCTTTGAAGGCAGAACCAGCAAAATAATTCTGGGCTGCGCTTCACAATCACCTAGAATTCAGAACTTAAAGTACATCTCTATGGTAACAGAATGGAATCATTCATGCATCATCATTCTTTCTGTGGGGATTAAATGGCAAACAAAAGGGAGAGTATCCCAGAACTTATGGAATACTACCTTATGTTTCTATCTTGGGGTTTATAGTTCTTTCTAACCCCTTGAGGGTACTTGAAGGACTAAGCCCAGAGTTTAAAAATCATTTTATAATCCAAGAAGTCAGTGGCTTGAGGGCATGATTTGCCTAAAGAATGGAATCCAATCAATGGCAGCCCATTCTTGGAGGTTTACCCCTGCTTGTGAGGATGGGCAGTCAATAAATTCCCAGGAAGGTCAGCAAATAAAATAATCCACAGTCCTGGGCTTAGTAGGGGTGACCTGATATGAGGCAGAGACTATTGGGAGTCAGGAAGTGTGTTCAAGCCCTGGTTATGCCACTCGCCACTTTTGTGACCCTAGATATAGACAAATATATAAATTGCCTGTGGACACCCCCTCAGGCTCTTTCCTTACAGAATCTTATTTCCACTTTAATTCCTTTGTAATTGCTTCTTAGATGCATATATAACTTTTTAAAAACTCATGTAATCTTTTAGCAGCCTTATCATTTGGAACTACTAGTGCCAATTCATAAATGAGGGAAGCAGGGTAGCTCAGAAAGATTTAGTGACTTGCCTCAGGTCAGACAATTTGGAATTGATGGAGCCTGTATTTAGACTCAGGTCTGTGTATGTCAGAGCGCATCTTGTGGCCACTACAGCATGATGTCTCCAAGGTGGTCAATCTCCCTGTACCTTGGCCTGCTCATGTGCAAAATAAGGAGCTTTGAATGATTGTAGGTCTCAGGTCTTTTCTAACTCTAATTACCTAAGGAGACGTGAACATAGGCTAAGGAAATCAGGCGGCAAGTCAAATGAGGAATAAATACTATCTGGTTCTCTCTTCACTTCCTTTCTGCAAAAGAATGTGTGTTTGGGCTAGATTTGTAGTGGGCAGAGACATGAGGCTCTTTAGGCTTAAAATCTGAGAGGACATGGAGGAAGGTAGGATGGTTAAGAGAAAGAAGGCATGGTAGTAAATAAAAATCTGATAGTAGTCATGGCTATTATCCGTTGAACAGGACTACTAATAATTTTATGTAAATGAGCCCTAATCCTTACAACATTTTTGACAATTAGGTATTTTCTTTTTCTTTTCCAATCATTTTTCTCCTCTCCCTCCTCATTACTATCTTCCTCACAAAAATACAAAGAATTTATTGAAAGTCAATGTGCACCAAAAATTTATATACACCATTGTTAATCTTTACATTTGAAGATATTGATAACAATCCTAACTGAATTATTAGGAAACTTTCTGAAGGTTATAATCACACTCAAAGCCTTGCCATTACCCTGCAGTACCCCTTACATCCAATTCCCCAACTCCTTAGCACTTAGTCTCTGCCGATGACACAACAGATGTGGGTTTTGCTAGTAAGTATACATTTATGGAGCTCAAGGATTCTTCCAGTTCTGAAGTTTTAAGCAGTGATAAACTAACAAGGGATCTAGCTGAATGAAGGAACATCAAAGCTAACCCTCTTATTCACTTAATATTTATTAAGGGTGAAAAGAAATGGAAGGAGGGCTAAATAAGATTACTATTATTAAGTTAGTTGATATTAGTTACTTAACATATATTATGTTCCTTAATTCTCACAACGACCTAGAGATAGGTACAATTATCATCCTAGATGAGAAAACTAAAGCATAGCAAGGTTAGATCATGAGCCTGAGGTTACACTTCCAGGACATGACAAAGGGGGCACTTAAATCCAGGTGTGTCAGACTCTGAAACTTCACGGTGTACTTCCAGATCCATTGTTTCATCCAATAAACATTTACTGAGTCAGTCCTATATGCCTATGTGGTTCTAAGGTCTGGGTACACACGCTTTGTCCTGCCCCAGAGCTTAAAATCTAATTAAGGAGGACCATTAAATATATAAGTGATGACTGTTATGAACTGGGGAGTGCAGGGGGTAAAGGAAGATTTTGGCAGAAGGAACCAACTATAGGTGGGAGGGACTGAAGGGGAAGGCCGACCATGCCTCCCAAGGGATATCTAGTGGCAGCTGGGGCTTGAGAATAAGAGTTACCCAGGGGTGTGTGTGTGTGTGTGTGTGTGTGTGTGTGTGTGTGTGTTTACATGCCTATGTGTAATGGAGAAGAAGGTGGGGAGGAAGAAAGAACATTACAGAGCAGAAGAGCCATGGCAATATCCTGAGCTATGCTGATGAGAAACTAGAAGTGTGGTGCACTAGAGTGAAAAGTGATCAAAGGGGAGAGATGTGAAGTGAGTGATGGCACAGGAGAGAGTGGCAGGCCCCAGACCAGGCAGCGTCATGTAGATCTTGTTATGGGTTTTGGATTTTATCCTAAGATTCTTAAAGCAGGACAAGGACATGATGCGATTTATTTATAAGACCATCCCTCTGGATCCTGTACAGACTGTATTTGAGAAAGGCATGAGAAGAGGCAGGGAGGTCAGATAGGAGGTTGGGGCAGTGGTCCGGGGGAGAGAACTGGATGGATTCAAGAGGTGTTTAGGAGCATGGGGTATGACTTGAGGAAGGAGTTGCAATGACATATTTATACATCACACATCACACACACTGACTTTCTCTTCCCACTCATGCTGGAAAAGCCATGAGCCTTAGGGAATCTGTTCCATGAAGGAACACAGAGGGTAAGGAAGAAATGCTTGAAGAAAAAAGAGCACAGGAAAGGGAGTCTGGACGACTGGATCAGCCCTAATAATGTCTTTCTGCTGGGAAGCTGTGTGACCTTAGCAGTCATTTCACCTCTCTGGTCTTTAGCATTCTCATCTTTAAAATGAGAGGAGGACTAGATGCCTCCTAAGACCTCTTCTATATCTAACCTTCTATGATTCAAAAGTCAGCTTTTGATTATGTCTGTGTGGTTGTTCTCTAGTGGATTGATGAGAAATGTTTCAATCTCATGTTAGCATCCTCTTTATTTTATAAGAGGTGAGTGACCTCCCCAGAAGGTATGGATTTCCTGAATGCAAACAAATGTCAATATTAACTTAAGTGAGAAGCAATGTAAAAACAAACAAACAAAATGAACTATTAACACAGTGGAACATTTTTATAATGCCAATGATGCATAATGGGACTTACGTTACTATTAGGATATTTTAATAAATTTGATGAAATTTCAGGAAGCAGTATTGTTTTACTTGAAGTATATCTAGGCTGGGTGCAGTGGCTCACATCTGTAATCCCAGCACTTTGGGAGGCCACAGTGGGAGGATCGCCTGAGGGCAGGAGTTTGAGACCAGCCTGGGCAACATAGCAAGACCCCATATTTCCAAAAAACTTTTAAAAATTAGCTGGGTGTGGTGGCATGCACCTGTGTCCCAGCTACTCAGGAGATGGAGGTGGGAGGATTGCTTAAGCCCAGGAGTTGGAGGCTACAATGAGCCATGATCATGCCATTACACTCCAGCCTGGGTGACAGTGAGACCTTGTCTCAAAAACAAAGAAACAAAAAAGAAATGAAGTACATCTAAATTCTAGGCAATTGCAAGCCATGTTAAAACAGAATTCTGTGTAAATTGTGTTTGAATTCACCCAGCACAGCTTTCTTCATAAGCAAGGTTTTTATACTTATAAGGTAGTAAAAGCTCATTAATACTGTAGTAATTGTAGTTTATGATAATTCAACTAGTGATGAGTCAAAAACATATCTAGTTTTTATTCTCTAAGGAAAATGTATTAATGAACTAATTTTATTAAAATACTTTAAAATTGAAAGAAAATATGGCATTAATATGGGTAAAATTTTAAAAAATTGTACTTCCCATTAATTAGTTAAAAATAAATTTATTTCATTTTGTTTCATTTTGTTTTGGTTACACTTACCAAGTCCTTGGCATTTAGAGATACTTCATCCCACCAGGGGGAGATAAAGTAATATTCACAATTCAGAATTCTCCTGAACATGAACTGATCGCCTCTTTCATCATAGAATGGTTCAAATCCACAAAGTCTAGAGGAATAAAATATAGAGAATAAAATGTCTTTAAAAGCTCAAGTATATTTCATCCAATTTCTGTAGGAATTCAGGACTGTTCTTTTTCACTGCTTCCTGCCATGGAAGCAAGTCTACTCAGCTTAAGTATGCAACTGCCTTATTACAATTCACTATTTATAGTGTAAACACACAATCAAGTCCTCAGGAAGTAGGAATTAATATAAAACCAACTTAGGATTTCTACAAAAAGCTATAATAATAATTATAATTATTGTGTAATAATAATTATTATTATAATTCTTATTACACAGAAGAACAATAATAATAATAGCTAACATTATAGACATTATGCTAAAGCCTTTCCATGGATTTTTTGACAGGTATTGAGAAGACAGACAGACAGGCAGACAGAGATTGAATAGACTTCCAATTTAGTGTGAAAGGGAAGAGCTGGGATTTTGAGAGTAAAGAAATTAAAAAGTGGAAATTAGAAATTTTCACTTATTTTTATTCTGCCCTATTCTATGAAATCCTCCATAGAAATGAGTAAAGCTTTATGACATTTCCATTCCATTCCAGTTTGGATTTCAGAGTGAACAAAGACAGAAGCTGAAACTATTGTCAGGCAATGACCTTAAAAAATGTATAAGATTAATATAGTCACCAGATGCAGCCAAAGAGATGAGCACCCTCAATTTACCTCATTCTTTGTATCATTTTCTACTATGGAGTCAACTTAAAAATGAATGGGAAAAGTGGGATAAAAGGGACGGAGAACTATCTTGGGCATCTTAACAAGAGAGAAAGGAAAAGCGAGTTGTTTGTGACCACCAAGCATCCACTGTTTACAGACGGGTGGAAGTTCTAAAATCAGTAGGGACCAAGAGGGAACTGCTTAAAAAAGCCCATGGCAGGGCATGTGTTGCATGTGTTCCATTTGAAAAAAAATGAGGGTGGGAGGGAGGATGAATAAAAGACATTTTCCCAAAGGCTTCACTCAAGCTGGCCAGGTTGGTACATAGCATGAAAAATTAAAGTGCATCCTAATACAGTGAGTTTTTAGAAAGAAGCAGTTTCGTATGTCCTTTTACTCACAGAATGTCCCACTGGGAGAATGTTTGTCTCTTCCAGATATTCTGGAGCCAGTGAGAAAAATGCAAGGCCTGACAGTGCAGACCCCTGGGCCAATGTGTTCTCCCTTTCCCTACTGAGCAGTCTGCACAGAGAATCCCGCTCCTGACCCACCTGTGGAAGAGCAGCCTAAGGTGAGACAGGGCACATGTCCTCACCCTGACAACGAGAGAGTCTGACCTTGCCTGCCCTGCCCTGCTCTCCACAACACTAGAAACCTATGGCCTGTTGCAGTTAGTCATGGAGAAATGAGCCAGCTTCCTAGACTTAGTTTAGGAGTTTCCTTATATTTCCCCTTCTGAAAATCTAGAGACAAAAATGACCACTGAAGAGTTATAGTGCTCAAATGCCTTTTCTCTCATTTCATTCCTATCAGTGACTTTTTGCTTTGGTGACAGAGGTAAAAGGTGACAACTTCAAGCCTTAGGGCAGAACTGTAGTGTTGAAAGCTGAAGGAGAGAGTTTGAATCTCTGATGTTATCTGATTTCTGATCAGATCATAAGGCCCAGTCCTGCAGCTTTTGTCTGTAGGGGAAGAGGGTTTAGGTATAAAAGGTAAAGATATGAGAATTCCTGGGAGGAAAAATAGAATGGCCTTCATTTTCAGCCTAATGGCATTCTTAGAAATAGCAAGGCCCCATCAATAGCCTGGTGGTGACAAGCTAGAACTCTTAAGAAGGAAAGAGTGGGCCATGCGCGGTGGGTCACACCTGTAATCCCAGCACTTTGGGAGGCTGAGGCAGGTGGAACAGGAGGTCAGGAGTTTGAGACCAGGCTGGCCAGCATGGTGAAACCCCATCTCTACTAAAAATACAAAAAATTAGCTGGGCATGGTGGCACGTGCTTGTAATCCCAGGTACTCGGGGGGCTGGAGCAGAAGAATTGCTTGAACCCAAGGCGGAGGTTGCAGTGAGCCGAGATCACGCCACTGCACTCTAGCCTGGGAGACAGAGCAAGACTTCATCTCAAAACACACACACACACACACACACAAACACACACACACACACACACACACACACACAAAGAAGCAAAGAGTGAAGTTAAAATGCAGCAGTAGCCACAAGAAGAGGGACAAAAGAGGTAACAGAATTCTTTACACTGATAGGAAGAATCCAATGTCTATTCATGGCTTTATTAAAAAAAAACAGCCCCAGAGTTTATGTACATACAGACAAGTATCAGTAAAGCAAATGCCTCAACATTTGGAAGACAGAAGAAAGAATCTGACTGAAGCTTATAACGTAGCTTCATTGTAAGATTTACTTTCCCAGGAAGCATTAACAAAATGGATCTTTAGTTCTAATTCTTCATTTGGTTACTTCTCTACTCTACTGTGTCTGTCTCCAAGCCACTCTGGTGAAATGAGTGAGATGTTAGAGGTCATAGTCTCAGGTGCCCAGCAGGCCACTAAATGTACATTAAACCAATCTAATAAAGAAGATACAGAGATCAAGTAGCACAACCCACCAGAGAAAATGTGCCAGTCGACCGTGCCAGTGGACTTCACCAATTATTAAAGAACTACAGAGTAAATAAAACGTCCTCAGGCTTAGGGCCTGACAGAAGTTAGCCAAAAACTAAAGAATATTAGTTGTAAGCAGCACTGTTATTTTCATTTTGGAGGCTACCACTCTTACTTTCAACTAAACCTATTAATTAATTACCTAAAGTGTATAAAGATAAAAGAAATATATAAAATAGTTTGCATAATTTGGTAATGGACTAGGGGATAGGACAGATTTTTAGAACTATCTTCAGGGTTACAATAAAATATTTCTCAAGTAATTATATTTTTCCCTTCATTTTCCCATGTCAGTGATATCATTAAGTTTTATGCATTCCACATTCCAATTTTTCTGGGTAAATGTAACTTAATTTCCTACTTCCATCTCTCCAAGTTCTTTCATATCATTAATACTTAATGCCTCCCAGTACATTTCAACAATGTACCTACCAATTGTTGGTACACTGGTACCTAAATTGGGTATATTTATACTTTAGGGGCAAACCTACATTTTGGGGACAAAAACAGGATCTTTATCTCTCCAAATTCCTCTCAAGCTTTTCTTTTTCTTTTGTTTTGTTTTGTTTTGTTTTTGTTTTTGAGTCGGAGTTCTATCACCCAGGCTGGAGTGCAGTGGCAAGATCTCAGCTCACTGCAATCTCCGCCTCCTGGGTTCACGCCATTCTCCTGCCTCAGCTTCCCGAGTAGCTGGGACTACAGGCGCCCACTACCACACCCTGCTAATTTTTTATATTTTTAGTAGAGACGGGGTTTCACCACGTTAGCCAGGATGGTCTCGATCTCCTGACCTCATGGATCCACCCGTCTCGGCCTCCCGAAGTGCTGGGATTACAGGTGTGAGCCACTGTGCCCGGCCCCTCTCAAGCTTTTCTAAAGACACAAGGAATTGAGCACACAAAATATCTTTTTGTATTACATATTAGTGGATGGCTATTTTATCAGTTGCTTGTTAAACCTTTCTGTCTTGGCGATCAACCATTGTATATCAGGTAAATTAGAGTTTGCTAACGTGCTTGTGGGCCCTACCACAGTTAGCCCATTCCTAGTCCATATCACCTGGATATTGAATTTTTTAAGATCACTATTAAGTTAAAAACAACTTTAATTAAAAGCATTCTGCTACGGACTGAATTGTATTCCCCCCTCCAACCCCAAAATCCATATGTTGATGCCCCAGCTCCCAATGAGATAGTATTTGGAGATGGAGCCCTTGGGAGGCAATCAGGTTTAGATGAGGTCATGAGAGTGGGGTCTTCCTCATGGGATTAGTCCCCTCATAAGAAAAGAGTACACAGAGCTTGCTTTCTCCTTCTCCCCATCATGTGAGGACACCGTGAGAGGGCGGCCATCTGCAAGCCAAGAGAGGGCCCTCAGCAGAAGCTGACTGTGCTGACACTCTGGTCTTGGACTTCCAGCCCCCGAAAACTGTGAGAAAATAACTTTCTGTTATTTAAGCCACCCAGTCTATATATTTTGTTATGTAAGCCCAGGTAGACTAGTATACCTACTTTCAAACCCTTCAAAATTTCTCTAAATTGGAATATTATGCATTCCAACAACTAACTTTGTAGTACTCTCTAAATGGCAACTAAGTCTCCTTGTTTTGAACTAAACTCTTGAAAGCATCGATATCTTATTTTCTAGTTGTTCTACAGTATTCTTCCATCTCAGACGCTCTTCTATTTGGTTGATTTTTTTCATCACCACCTGCAGTTCCACCATGTCTTTGGCAAATTTCATGAAACTCCTTATTTCTTATTAGACAGGAGCTCAGGAATGGATGTGGGGATACCAGGGATTAAAATATTTCACTCATTTTTTTTCCCAAGAAATTTGTGTAGGGTGTTAAATTTAAGACCCTTGAAAACCTAACAGAAATAAGAAACAAAATTGATAGCTAAAAATGCATTTAAAATATTCCTGATAAGAAATATACCAGTTTGGAATTGCTTAAGAAATTAAATAGTCATTTGCCCATTTAAAAGGACTAAATCTAATAATTTCATATAAGATGCAAATAAGTAAAACAAGAGCAAGTTTACACAGCTGGTCTTGGGCTCATATTCTTTACTAGTGTCAAGTAATAAACTGTTCCCTAAATCTGCTGTATATTACATAGTGGATATAGACATAGGAAAGCCCTGGACAAGAATTCCGGTCTCAAGAAAATTCCAAAATAAAAAGCAATGTTCATTTTCAGGAAATTCTATCACTAACTGCATTTAGTATGTAACAGAAAATCACAAAAAGGCAAAAAGTAATCTTTATGGTTTTTATGAGCATTAGAGGTATCTAGAAAATGTCACAGCAAGGTAAATAGTTTACATAAATATTGCTTTTCTTCACTTACAAGATGTAGGTGATTATTCCTACAGACCACATGTCCACCTCAGGTCCATAGGCACAACCTCTAAGAATTTCAGGTGCTGCAGAAAAAGTGAAAATTGTGTTAAATTAGAGCTTAGTCAATATTTATATTTTAATATCAAGCAATGGGAAAGAAATAAATTCATCAAAACAATTTCTGAACAGTTTTATAACCAATCTTCTCTCCCCAAACCACAGTATGAAGCTATAAATACTTATGTCTATTTTAGTAGGAGAGATTATAGTCTATCTGTTTTGGGATGCATAAAATAACACTATTAACTTTAATATTCTATGTCAGAATATCATGATACTGCTCAAATCAAGTAGATAGAGCTGTATGTATGCTACAAAAGACGCAATACTTCAAAGGGAGTTTTGTACATAGAAAACAAAGAAATGAAAGTTAAGCATAACAAGGGAGAAAAAAGTCACAAGCATGCTGCCTTGAGATCTAGACCTGCTGGGAGCAGGGTGTGTCAGCGAGTGTGTGGGTCTGACAGTGTGCAGGGTGGGAACCAGTGTAGGTGGTGAGGAGGGTTGACAAGTATCTAGTCTAGACGGTTGCAGCAGGAGCTAGGAGGTGTCCTGGCACATGTCCTGGCATTGAGAGATGCATGTAGGTCTCCAGAGAGCAGCTGATCCCAATCAGCTTGAGGTCATGAACTGAGAAAGGGGAACTTATCTGTGCACAGTGAAGCAGCTTGTATTAGTTCTGCCCGCTGTTGTGAAAAAGGAAGGCTTTCTCAGCCATAAAATAGCCCTGGTGTGGAGAATAGCAGTATCTTTTATATTTTTATTACCTTAGATTTGTGAAAATGGGTAATTAACTGGATCCAGGCACTTTCCCTGAGTACTAAGGGTGTTATTTGTTTGCCTAATTAACAACAGAAGAAAAGGGAAAGTAAGAGCCCCACCATCTATGGAGAAATAGAGCTCAGGCCTATTGTCCAGAGTGGCCTTTCTTGATTTTGAACACAAGTGCGGCAGGTGCCAGCAGCGTACTTGAAGAAGGAGCTTCTTGATTAATGCTGATGGCTGCTTGAGGAAGGCCTTGGGGATGAGGACACCATACCATTCTCTGGGATAGGGGTTGGAATGCAAGTAAACAGGATTCTCTGTCCATGCTGGCTGGAAATGTCACATTCAGTGTTGCCTATCAAGATGAGCTCTGGGGCTGGGCACAGTGGCTCACACCTGTAATCCTAGCACTTTGGGAGATCGAGGCAGGTGGATCACCTGAGGTCAGGAGTTTGAGTCCAGCCTGGCCAACATGGTGAAACCCTGTCTCTACTAAAAATACAAAAAAATTAGCCAGGCATGGTGGTAGGTGCCTGTAATCCCAGCTACTCGGGAGGCTGAGGCAGGAGAATAGCTTGAACCCAGGAGGTGGAGGTTGCAGAGATGGCGCCGCTGCACTCCAACCTGGGCAACAGAACAAGACTCTGTCTCAAAAAATAAATAAATAAATAAATAAATAAGTGAGCTCTGGAGGGAGGCTATCCTCATGGGACTGTGGATTTACCATACAGGAAGGAATACTGTGGGCATTCCACTGACCTCTTCCCTAACTATCCCTTAACTCTCATCATGTTCCAATTTCCCTGTAGAAGCTGGGTTACATAAAATATGAGGAGTCTTCAAAAGGTCATGGTAAATGCATATTATAAAAAATTATGCATGAATTTCACAATTTTTTGTACCAAAATAAACTTGTACTAACTTGTCATAACATGTCCAAACAGGATCTAGTCTGAGACACTAAAAAGGCTAAGACTTCAGTTTGAAAAGAGCCTCTATCTGAGAAACATGAATTCTGCTAAAATTGAAGCAAGAACAAACATCAAATTTATGGTAAAGCTTGGGTGGAAGAATGGCGAAATCACTGAGGCTTTATAAAAAGTTTGTGGGGACAATGTTCTAAAGAAATTAACAGTATACAAGTGGATAACTCATTTTAAGAAGGGATAAGACAATGTTGAAGACAAAGCCCACAGTGGCAGATCATCCACATCAATTTTTGAGAAAAAAATAAATCTTGCTCATGGCCTAATTGAAGAGGACTGGCAAGAGCAGAAACAATAGTCAACATCACAGACATCTGTGAGTTCTGCTGACACAATTCTGACTGAAAAATTAAAAGTTGAGCAAAGTTTTCACTCGATGGGTGACAACACTGTTGCATCCAGATCGATGCAGACAAAAATAGAGCTTTCAATGGAAATTTTAAACAAGTGGGATTGAAATCCTGAGCCTGATTCTTCAAACAATTGTTACAGGAGATAAAACATGGCTTCAACAGTATAATTCTGAAGACAAGGCACAATCAAAGCAATGGCTACCAAGAGGTGGAAGTGGTCCAGGCTAAGCAAAAGCAGATTGGTAAAGAGCAAGTGTCATGGCAATGGTTTTTTTGGATGCTCAAGGCATTTTGCCTGTTGACTTTCTGGAGGGCCAAAGAAAAATAACGTGTTTCATATGAGACTGTTTTGAGAGAGTTAGCCAAAGCTGTAGCAGAAAAATTCCCAGGAAACCTTCACCAGAGAATCCTTCTCCACCACAAAAATGCTCATGCTCATTCCTCTTATCAAACAAGGACAATTTGATGAGACTTTCAATAGGAAATCATTAGGCATCTACCTTACAGTAGTAACTTGGTTCCTTCTGACTTCTTTTTGTTTCTTTATCTTAAAATTTCTATAAGGAACACTTATTGTTTTTTCAGTTAATAATGTAAAAAAGACTGCATTGACATGGTTATCCCTCAGTTCTCTAGGGATAGACTAAATGGCTGCTGTTATCACTTACAAAAGTCTCTTGACCTTGATGCAGTTTATGTTGAGATATAAAGTTTATATTTTTCATCATTTTCACCATTTTTTGACAAACTTTTTGAAGTGCTCCCTATATGAGATAAAGAACCTGTATGGTGAAAGGAAGGTGTGCATTCTAGCACTCTACACAGCAATTCAGCAAGATGCACCCTTTAAGGAACTGTATCTGTAGCCAAAAAGCTTTTTTTAATCTACAGATGAATTATTCCTAGAAAACTTTTCTTTTAAGGTTTAATTAACAAAATTAAGAAACATGCATGGCTGATACGAACTACCATCATTCACTCTGTCAGGTTAGCTTTCATTCTCTGGGGCAATCTGTACCCCACAGAAAGTGTCTTTGAGCACAACAGCCCTGACAGTGAACTTTCCCTTGTAAAGGGGAACTCAGATTATGCTGCCATTGCAGGAAGGCTGCTATTGCCTATTTTTGTCTCTAGGAGATGTTCCAGTCAAGGAGCCGAATGCACACATATTGAGCATGCATATTCCACTTGCATTAGTCCTTCTCCATGCAGGTCTTCACATCAGTGAATCTTATTCAGTCTGAAATGCTATCAAGCCCCATACTGACATTTAAACATAAATATAGAAATATGTTGAGAGAGTCTTTTATATTTTCTGGATCTTGGTTTTTTACCTCTAAACTGTAAATGAATCCAAATAGCTGATTTCCAAGTTAACTTTGAGTTTTAACCTGCTACCCATTATATTATTAGTAAAGGATGTGTTACTGATCATTCAACAAGAAGAGAGGACAAGAACAAGCATTCTAACCTGCAGACCTGTTGCATTTCTCATTTCTTCTGCTACAACAGCTACTGTGTATGCTGCCCTATGGGGACTCATCCTGTTGGCTCTAGTGAAATCAACCCTCCCACCCCGTGCAGGCCAGAGACACATACTGGCAAGGGTCAGATGTTTTCTCTAGGCACTGCTAATAGCTCCCAGCCAAAGAACTCTAAGGAAAATGAATAGTGTGTCACAAACTGCTTTTTGGATCCACTATACAGGGAGTCTGAGTTTCATACCTGACATGGCAAGTTCTGATCTGTCGCAGCACTGGGTGTAACCTTACTCTCCAAAGGCAATTTATTTCTTTGTGAAGCACTGTACTGCAATGTGAGTAAACTTGCCATGTAAAAAGTTAAATGTCCCACAGTGAAGTTAACAGACAAAAGGAATAAAAAATGTTTATGCCATCCATAATAAATTCATCTTAAAAATAATTGTTTTTAAAATAACTTATTTTGAAAATCATAAAAAAATGGGGTGAAACAAAGTCAAAACACCTAGACACAATTAGATATTATTTTCAATAACTTTCAAATATATATATATATATATATATATATATATATATTTTTTTTTTTTTTTTTTTTTTTTTTTTTGAGATGGAGTTTCACTCTTGTTGCCCAGACTAGAGCCCAATGGCACGATCTCTGCTCACTGCAACCTCCGCCTCCTGGGTTCAAGCGCTTCTCGTGCCTCAGCCTCCTGAGTAGCTGGGATTACAGGTGCTTGCCACCATGCCCAGCTAATTTTTGTTGTTGTTGTTGGGACAGAATCTCGCTCTGTCACCCAGGCTGGAGTACAGCGGCACGATCTCAGCTCACTGCAACCTCTGCCTCCTGGGTTCAAGCGATTCTCTTGCCTCTGCCTCCTGAGTAGCTGTGATTACAGGCAGGTGCCACCACACCCAGCTAATTTTTGTATTTTTAATAGAGATGGGGTTTCACCATGTTGGTCAGGCTGGGCTCGAACTCCTGACGTTGTGATCCACCCGCCTCGGCCTCCCAAAGTGCTGGAATTACAGGCATGAGCCACAGTACCCAGCTTAATATTTTAAATTACTAGTTAATATGGCATTGACTTTGTTCAGAACCAGTAGAACACACTCTAGCAATCTAGACAGGCCTTTTCCAAGAGCCAGAAGAATTTTTACAATAAAGTTCAGGCTCTAGCACCCCAGCTTCAAGTCTCCTAAGTATCAAATGTCCTTGCAGGTAATTCTAATAATTTGTGATCTTCTTAGGGCAAGAAAGTTGGCTACTTTCAATTTAGTTCAAGAAAAAACATCAATTAATGTATCTTTTAATGGTATAAGCACTCTGGCTGTCCTTCATATCTTTTCTCACCTCATTATCAAAACAAACAAAATAGAAGAAAATCACTTTAAGGTATAAAACAGTTTTCTTGATATTTTTATTTTTATTCCAGTAGTTTTGGGAAAATAGGAGGTGTTTGGTCACATTGAAAATTTCTTTAGTGGGGATTTCTGAGATTTTGGTGTACCCATCACCTGAGCATTGTACACTGTACCCAATGTGTAGTTTTTTATCCCTCACCCCACTCCCACCCTTTCCCCTGAGTCTCCAAAGTCCATTTGTATCATTTGTATGCCTTTGCATTCAAATGCTTATCTCCCACTTATGAGGGAGAACATATGATGTTTGGTTTTCCATTCCTGAGTTACTTCACTTACAATAATGGTCTCTAACTCCATCCAGGTTGCTGCAAATGTCATTATTTCACTCCTTTTTATGGCTGAGTAGTATTCCATGGTGTGTGTGTGTGTGTGTGTGTGTGTGTGTGTGTGTGACAATTTCTTTACGAACTCACTGATTGATAGCCATTTGGGCAAGTTTCTTTTTCACATGACTTCTTTTCCTCTGAGTAGATATCCAGTAGTGGGATTGCTGGATCAAACGGTAGTTCTACTTTTAGTTATTTAAGGAATCTCCACACTGTTTTCCATAGTGGTTGTACTAGTTTACATTCCCATCAACAGTGTAAAAGTGTTCCCCTTTCACCACATCCACACCAACATGTATTATTTTTTGATTTTTTGATTATAGCCATTCTTGCAGGAGTAAGGTGGCATTGCATTGCGGTGTTGATTTGCAATTCCCTGATCATTAGTGATGTTAGGCATTTTTTTCATATGTTTGTTAGCCATTTGTATATCTTCTTTTGAGAATTGTCCATTCATGTCCTTAGTCCACTTTTTGATGGGATTGTTTGTTTTCCTCTTGCTGATCTGTATGAGTTCCTTGTAGATTCTGGATATTAGTCTTTTGTCAGATGTATAGATTGTGAAGATTTTCTCCCACTCTGTGGGTTGTCTGTTTACTCTGCTTTTTTTTTTTTTTTTTTTTTTTTGCTATGCAGAAGCTTTTTAGTTTAATTAAGTCCATCTATTTATCTTTGTAAAAACAAAGTTGCATTTGCTTTTGGGTTCTTGGTCATGAAGTCTTTGCCTAAGCTAATTTACAGGATGGTTTTTCTGATTTATCTTCTATAATTTTTATGGTGTTAGGTCTTAGATTTAAGTCCTTCTTCCATCTTGAGTTGATTTTTGTATAAGGTGAGGGATGAGGATCCAGTTTCATTCATATACATGTGGCTTGCCAATTATCCCATCACCATTTGTCGAATAGGGTATCCTTTCCCCGCTTTGTTTTTGTTTGCTTTGTCAAAGATCAGTGACTGCAAGTATTTCAATTTATTTCTGGGTTCTCTATTCTGTTCCATCGAGCTATGTGCCTATTTTTATACCAGTACCATGTTGTTTTGGTGACTAAGGCCTTACAGTATAAAGTCAGATAATGTGATGCCTCCAGATTTGTTCTTTTTGCTTAGTCTTGCTTTGGCTATGCAGGCTCTTTTGTGGTTCCATATGAATTTTAGAATAGTTTTTTTCTAACTCTGTGATAAATGATGGTGGTATTTTGATGGGAATTGTATTGAATTTGTAGATTGCTTTGACAATGTGGTCATTTTCACAATATTGATTCTACTCATCCATGAGCATGGGACATGTCCCATTTGTGTCATCTATAATTTCCTTCAGCAGTGTTTTATAGAATTCCTTGTAGAGAGGTCTTTCATGTCCTTGGCTAGGTTTGTTCCTAAGTATTTTAATTTTTTGCTGCTATTGTAAAAGGGGTTGGGTTCTTTATTTGATTCTCATCTTGTTTGCTGTTGGTGTATCGCAGAGCTACTGATTTGTGTACATTAATTTTGTATCCTGAAATTTTGCTGAATTCATTTATCAGATCTAGGAGCTTTTTGCAGGAGTCTTTAGGGTTTTGTAGGTATGCAATGATATCACCAGCAAACTGACAGTTTGACTTCCTCATTACCGATTTGGATACCTTTTATTTCTTTCTCTTGTCTGATTGCTCTGGCTAGGACTTCCAGTACTATGATGAATAGAAGTTGTGACAGTGGGCATCTTTGTCCTGCTCCAGTTCTCAGGGGGAATGCTTTCAACTTTTCCCCATTCGGTATTATGTTAGCTTTGGGTTTGTCATAGATGAGTCTTATTATGTAAAGGTACGACCCTTCTATGCTGATTTTGCTGATGGTTTTAATCATAAAGCATTGCTGGATTTTGTCAGATGCTTTTCCTGAGTCTATTGAGATGATCATGTGATTTTTGTTTTTAATTCTGTTTATGTGGTGTATCACATTTATTGACTTGCATATGTTAAACCATCCCTGCATCCCTGGTATGAAACCCACTTGATCATGGTGGATTATCTTTTTGATATGCTGTTGAATTAGGTTAGCTGGTATTTTGTTAAGGATGTTTTCTTCTATATTCATCAGGAATATTGATCTATAGTTTTCTTTTTGGTTATGTCCTTTCCTGGTTTTGATATTAGGGTGATACTGGCTTCATAGAATGATTTAGGGAGGATTCCCTCTTTATCTTTTGGAATAGTGTCAATAGGATTGGTCCCAATTCTTCTTTGAATGTTTGATAGAATTCAGCTGTGAATCCATCTGGTCTTGGACTTTTTTGTTGGCAATTTCTAAAATTACCATTTCAATCTTGCTGCTTCTTATTGGTCTGTTCAGAGTTTCTATTTCTTCCTGGTTTAATCTAAGAGGGTGGTATATTTCCAGGAATTTATGCATCTCCTCTAGGTTTCCTAGTTCATGCACATAAAGGTGTTCATAGTAGCCCTGAATGATCTTTTGCATTTCTGTGGTATTGGTTGTAGTATCTCCTGTTGTGTTTCCAATTGAGCTTATTTGGATCTTCTCTCTTCTTTTCTTGGTCTATCTTGCTAATGGTTATCTTTTTTAATTATTATTTTAAAGAACCAGCTTTTAGTTTCATTTATTTTTTGTAATTTTTTTGGTTTGTTTCCATTTCATTTAGCTCTGCTCTTATCTTAGTTATTTCTTTTCTTCTGCTTGGGTTGAGTTGGGTTTGTTCTTGTTTCTCTAGTTCCTTGGGGTTTGACCTTAGATTGTCTATTTGTGCTCTTTCAGACTTTTTGATGTAGGGATTTAAGGCTATGAATTTGCCTCCTAGCACTGCCTTAAGTGCAACCCGGAGTGATCCTTAGGCAACACCATCATTAGTAGGCCAGAGAGAAGAAAAGGAAGATTTATTATTTACAGAAATTCAAACAGTAGAGGAAACTCCACAGGGCAGAATTAGGAATTGTGAATGGATGTTGCAAGGCACAGATGTCTGGCTCAATATACGGGACAATATTCTAACAACTAAAGCTGTCAGCAATAGTAGGGGCTGTCTCCTTGGTTTGGGAGTGTTCACAAAGCCGATTGACTCATCACTCAGGATCCAAGGCTATCAGCAAAGAAAGAGAAGGAAGACTCCTGTTAAGTTTTTTATATCACCCATTAGATACATAGTGTGTGGTATTAAATAATATCACCAGAAAACTGTCTATGTATTCTATACATGTAAACTAAGTTGAGGATTATGGCAACCACTTACTTAAATCAAAGTTAACCAAATATATTTTGGCTTGAGATGGCTGATAAAATCAAATCTCAAGAGATTGTCCCCACTGTCCTCTCTTGACTTCTCGTGTTCTCTTTGAGTTTAGATACAGTCTTTTAATGTAACGGTAATCCTTAACTTCTGGGTCCCTAGACTATAAATCATTTTCGATGCCCACTTCCATAGAATACATGGCTCTTAAGATTATTTCCTCTGTCTTGACTTTAGATAACCTTATGACTCTGTGCCTGGGTGTTGATCTTTATGCAATAAATTTCCCAGGTATTCTTTGAGCTTCCTGTACTTGTATGTCTAGATCTCTAGCAAGGCCAGGGAAGTTTTCCTCAACTATTCCCACAAATATGTTTTCCACATTTTTAGATTTTTCTTCTTCCTTAGAAACATCCATTATTTTTAGGTTTGTTCATTTAACATAACCCCAAACCTCTTGGAGGCTTTTTTCATTTTTTTAAATTCTTTTTTTCGTCTTTACTGAATTGGGTTAATCCAAAAACTTTGTCTTCGAGCTCTGAAGCTCTTTCTTCTGCTTGTTCAGGTCTATCGCTGAGACTTTCCAGTGCATTTTGCATTTCTCTAAATGTGTCCGTCATTTCCAGAAGTTGTGATTGTTTTTTTATTTATGCTATTTCCCTGAAGATTTTTCCCTTCATATCTCATTTTTTTTATTTCATTTAATTGGACTTCACCTTTCTCTGGTGTCTCCTTGATTAGCTTAATGACCGACCTGCTGAATTTTTTTTCTGCCAATTCAGGGATTTCTTTTTGGTTTGGATCCATTGCCGGTAAGCTAGGGGGATCTTTTGAGAGTGTGAAAGAACCTTTTTTTGTCATATTACCAGAATTGTTTTTCTGGTTCCTTCTCATTTGGGTGGACTATGTCAGAGGGAAGATGTGGGGCTAAAAGGCTGCTATTCTGATTCTTTTGTCCCACACTATACTCCCTTGATGCTGTGCTCTCCCCCTTCCTCTAGGGATGTGGCTTCCCGAAAGGCAAACTGCAGTGCTTGTTATTAATCTTCTGGATCTAGCCACCCAGTGGAGCTGCTGGGGTCTGGGCTGGTAGTGGGGGGTGTCTACACAGAGTCTTGTGGTGTAAACCATCTTCAGGTCTCTCAGCCATGTATAGCAGCACCTGCTCCAGTGGAGGTGGCAGGAAAGTGAAATGGACTCTGTGAGGGTCCTTAGTTGTAGATTTGTTTATTGCAGTGTTTTGTGTTGGTTGGCCTCCTGCCAGGAGGTGGCACTTTCAAGAGAGCATCAGCTGTGGTAGTACAGGGAGGATCAGGTGGTAGGTAGAGCCTAGAGCTCCCAAGAGGTTATGTCCTTTGTCTTCAGAGTTTTTAGGTTGTCTCCTGGGGCCTGCAGGAACAATCTGCTTCCTATACACAGGGTCTGTGGATTCTCTCCCATTTGTATATCTTCTTTTGAGCATTGTCTATTCATGCCCTTTGCGCCCTTTTTTTTCTTGCTGATTTGTAAAACAGTTTTTAAAAATGCATTTTAAAAGACTTAGAATCATCATCTTTTCTGAATTAGTAAATAATCATTTATTGATTTTTCTGGCTGTGTTCCAAGTGAATCCAATCTGTCTACCACTTCCTAAAATTATCTTACCATTCATGTTATTGCTCATAAAACACTAAATGATACCAAGCTCCCACAAAACCTCATACTCCAATCTTCAATGCAGAATAAGTTTGGTAAACGGTCTTAGAATTCTCAAGATGCCAGACTTCCTTTTTAAAACAGAAAGTTTAACTAAATATAAAAATTACACAAAAATTCAAACCTTATATTATATATTCATTAACATACCATCTAGGTCTAAGTGTGACTCTTTTTAAAAATAAGATGATGGCACCATTGAAACATTTAGAGACTGAGTATCCCTCTAGAGATTGGGATGAATTTCACTTTATCAAATAAAATCATTGTAACTAGTTTTGGAAATGATCCTAAAATAAAAAGCATCAGATATGGCCTAGGGCTCACTTACAGGGACCACTGGTGCTAAATTTGCCTTCTTTTCTTAAATTCCTAGAAGAAAAATTAAAAGGGACGATTTTGGTCATTGACTGTACTTTCATTTTGTCAATGCCCTAGTTGAGTTTTATGATTCTTTCTTACTTACTGAGTTAAAACTACAGAGTGGCATTCTTCATCAGAAGAGCTTTCACACTATTAGTAACTCTTTTGGAAAAAATTTGAGGGAGACTAAGGTGAATGAAATCAACAGGTTCATTCACTCACTCATTAAAGAAATCATCAAATATTTATTAAGCACCTGCTGTGTGATGGGCCAACTATACTTGGAGGTGCTAGGGGAATAATGAGCAGGTTAAAGAGAACAAGTCTTTTTCATCTAGGAGCTTACAGCTGGGTGGGGGATGTAGACATAAATCAAAAACATCAAAGGAAGAAATGCAAAGTGATAACTGGAAATGCTTGGAGGAAGAATATTTTTAGTACGGGGTTGGCCTGGTCACAGAGGTCAGCGAATGTGACTGGTGCAAAGAAAGTTTGAACTGAGATGTAGAGGATCTAGAGAAGTTAATTAGGCAAATGGGGAAGAGGTTGAAGGAAAAGAGAATAGACTTGCAAGTGGAAAAAGTTATGCAAAGACCCTGTGGCAGGAAGAAGCAAGGGGCACTGGAGGAACTGAAAGAAGCCAACATGGCTGGAGCATGGCTCAAGTATCCAGCCATGCCTAGGTGGGATGAGCAGTGCCTGTGAGGCAGGTAGAGGCCAGACTGAAGATCCAGTAGGTCAGGGGTCTTGTTTGTTTCAAAATTCTTTCCACTCTTTCTGTTTTAGCAATTCAAAACATATGGGAAAAGATCTATTTGCATCTAAAAGCCTGAACCTGACTTTCCAGAATTATTGTCCCTATTAGAGCTAGGGGCAAATGCTGGGATTTTTTTTTTTTTTTTTTTTTTTACTATAGAGGCTTGTTTTGAATTCAGTGTTTTCTGCGAGCCACAAAAATCCACTGTATCTTGAGCCCAGCATCTAGAGTCTCTCTAAACTGTGCCTCTGGGAAGGAGGAGGGAGGAGGGAGAAGAGTGAAGGGTGGAGGGGATTTATCTAGGGAGGCTGAAAAGCAGTGTTAGGAAATTCTCTGCCTCTATCCTTTTCCTAGCTTGGCCTAGGAACCCAGAGGAGAAGAATGCACTTGAGGCAGCTGCCTATGGGCGGCAGCAGTGCCCACAGTTGGGCAGACTCCACACTGGGTGATTTTCTCAGCATCTGTACTTTGTGCGGTCCTTTGTTTAGCTGTCATCTACATTTGCTAAGAAAGGAGCACAACCTGTTTAAAACTTGGTGCAATTTTTGATTTGATAAAAAGATAATGCCCCAGTTCAGGAGATTAAGTGCAGTGACAAAGGTGCAGATGAGACTGAATCACACCTGAGACTTCCAGAGGGGGTTGCCTCTGGCTAGAAGCTGCCTTGTCAGCTTACTACAGTGAATCTCAGAATATTCTCAATTCTATGCGTGCCATGCTCTGAAAGGTTGAGAAGGACTGAGAACGTATTTGGGGCTTTTGTCATTTTAGTTTTCTGTGACTTGAGTGGAGTGAGAAAAGAAAAAGTTAGGTGTTTTGAAACACAAGTGATATACTTTATGTTCTAACTCACTCTTTCCTTCCTCCAGGGCTCTTGATTTTTTGCACTGCAATTATCAGTCAATCCAACTCCCACTTCATGTTTTTCATTTAAGCTGTTAAAAAAGTCTTCCTTACCGCAAGAATTATATGATTTTCTCTTTGTATAAATCTAATAAATGAGTGAAAATAGTCTGTTTATTTCCCTCATCTTATTTTTTATTTTTAAATAATATCCTGAAGAGAAAATCAAATATTTGAGAATACCTAGTGCTTTCAAAAAAGGAAAAAAAAATACAACTTATTTTTATTGCCCTGTGAAATTTGCTTTTCTGTGAAATTCCATTGAGCCTTCCTATCTTGAAGTCATTGCCATTTTCTCCAACTCTGAATCAGACTGAGTCTCCAGGTCACTTCAGAGTTGTGATGGATGCCAGCAAAGTGGTATTAACTGTTGAAAAGCTACCTTTCAATTTTCGTGGGATGAAGTAGGATAAAATAAATAAACCTATCTCATCCTAATATTAAAATTACATAAAAATATCTTCAGTAGATGGAGGTGCAAAGATAAAGTAATGGACTTAGAATTTAAAGTGTCTCGTGTTAAGTGTGAAAAATATTACAAGGTGGGTGGATTGTCTGAGCTCAGGAGTTCAAGACCAGCCTGGGCAACACGGTGAAACCCCGTCTCTACTAAAATACAAAAAATTAGCCCGGTGTGGCAGTGTGCGCTTGTGGTCCCAGCTACTCAGGAGGCTGAGGCAGGAGAATTGCTTGAACCTGGGAGGTGGAGGTTGCAGTGAGCCAAGATCGATTGCACCACTGCACTCCAGCATGGGGGAATGAGTGAGACTCTGCCTCAAAAAAAAAAAAAAGAAAAAGAAAAGAAAAGAAAAGAAAAACATTATGTTTTTCTCTAACGGAGATATAAACCTTCTCACTGATGATAATCAATAATAATTCTTGCAAAACTTTTTATTTTTATTTTATGCATATCCTTTCTGTAATAACATTTTAAAGTGGAACATTTTGTGGGTGTTCTGGTCCAAAATAAGACATTTTAAGCAAATCTTCTACCCACTTGCTATCAATCACCTCTTCCTTTTGACCTCTTTTCCTCCCATCATCCCACCCCCACATATATAATAATAGAGTTGAATCCTCACAGAACTGTGAATTCTCTGGCACAGTTGGTTCTGTTCTCGAAGTAGTGTCTTCTGAAGTGGGCATCAAAAATGATTTATGGTCTGGAGACCCAGAAGTTAAGGATTACCATTACATTAAAAGACTGTCTCGGGCACCTGTAGTCCCAGCTACTTGGGAGGCTGAGGCAGGAGAATGGCGTGAACCCGAGAGGCGGAGCTTGCAGTGATGCAGTGAGCGGAGATCAAGCCACTGCACTCCAGCCTGGGTGACACAGCGAGGCTCCGTCTCAAAAAAAAAAAAAAAAAAAAAAAAAAGACTGTCTCTAAACTCAAAGAGAACATGAGAAGTCAGGAGAGGACACTGGGGACAATCTCTTGAGATTCGATTTTATCAACCATCTCAATCCAAAATATATTTGGTTAACTTTGATTTAAGTAAGTGGTTGCCAAAATCCTCAACTTAGTTTACATGTATAGAGTATATAGGCAGTTTTTGGTGATATTATTTATTACCACACACTATGTACCTAATGGGTGATATAAAACTTAACAGGAGTCTTCCTTCTCTTTCCTTGCTGATAGCCTTGGATCCTGAGTGATGAGTCAATCAGCTTTTGTGAACACTCCCAAACCAAGGAGATAGCCCTTACTATTGCCGACAGCTTTAGTTGTTAGAATGTTGTCTTGTATATTGAGCCAGAAATCTGTGCCTTGCAACATCCATCACAATTCCTACTTCTGCCTTGTGGAGCTTCCTCTACTATTTGAATTTCTGTAAATAATAAATGTTCCTTCTCTTCTCTCTGGCCTACTAATGATGGTGTTGCTGAAGCATTAGTCTGGGTTGTCTCCTTTTCTGCCTTGGGGATGCCTGATAGTCTCATGACTTGAAATACCGTCTATATGCTGGTAACACCCACATTGATACCAGTAGCCAAGTTGACATGTGGACCATATATTCCCTTCTGCCCACATGTCACTTCCACTTGGATATCTAACAGACATGTAGAAATTAACAAGTCCCAAGCCTGATGCTCCGATGTCTTCCCATCTCAGGAAATGTTAACTCCATTCCCTCAGTTGTTAGTTATCCCCTCTCCTATCTACTATTTTCTGCCCTTGTCACTGCATTCCAATCAACCAACTAACCTTCTTGGTGGACTTTAAAGACACCTGGTGTGTTCTTGCCTCAGGATTAGTGTGCCCCATCCCCTTCACCTAGAACATTCTTTCACTAGGTATGTATGTGGTTTGCTCTCTCCTCTCTCAAATTTTTGCTTATATATTCCATTCTAACACAAAGCCTTCCTTAATTACCTTGTTTAAACTGTAACCCAGGCTCCTTTTCCAACTTTATATTATAATTTCTATGGGAAATTATCACCTCTTTCTGTATATTTTACATGTGTATTGTTGTTTCTCCCACTAAAATGTATTACAGTATACTTAAGGAAGAGTTCTTTTGGTCTGGTTTTTACTGCTATGTCTTTACAACATACAACAGTGCCTAGTGCATAGAAGCACAACAAATATTTAATAAATGACAAAAAACCTGATTGTTTTACACAACTAAAGTTCCAGAGAAACCGCTTTGTTCAGGGCAGTACGAAACCAATATAAAGACTCCAAAGACGCAGTTTTCTTCAGATTTCAAACTTCTAACACAGCTTAAACTAAGCTCATGCCCAACCTGCAGAGTCCCTTTCCTCTCCATGATCAAGAACAAGATGAGCTCTGGATGACCCTTCCTCGCCACCCTGTATCTGTCCCTACTTTTCCTTTACCTGGCACTACTCAACTGACTCAGATGCTGCAAGCATGCCTGTGGCAGTTATATGACGGCTTGGGGACACAATCTCCTTAGGGAGAAAGTAGGGCTATGGTCAGGAGGGGAGATGGATATGGGGTACCCTCCACACCTGGTTAGCATTCTCTGCCTCACTTCCTCTCCCCTTCCCTGATGGTCGTTTTCCCATTGTCCAAAAGCCACACAGGAACCCTAGTGTGCAGCACACGAGCCGGTCAAGTAGAAAGTTACAGTCAGTGCAACTGGAATTTTACCATGCATTTAATTAACTAGATTTTTTAAAAGTTCATTGTAAAAATGAAGTTGCCACTTTGGGTATTTAATTCATTCTTGGGTGAGATCGTCCTTTACTTGATTGGATTGCAGTATAATTTAAGACTCTTATTATTTCACTTAAGCTATTTATTCTTCTGGAAATGAACACAAACACTATGCCTTTTGTGAAACTATACTAAAAGTTTCTATTTTAGATTATGAGATGTATTTCTTTTATTTAAATTTTCCTACATTTTTCATATGTGTTCATGTTAGAGAAAATGTAGCTTATTGGCTAACCCAACTTTCTGTTTTGTTAAGAGTTAAGCAGAGATCTCTTCTGTTCAACTATAAGCTGTTGAAAATTTGTCTTAAATTTTGGCATAGTGAATCTAATGGGTTATTTCTTTTCAAAGTAGCAATGTGGCAAGTGTGTGGAATCATCCTTGAAATCATGAATGGGCACTAATGGAAGACAAGACTTGCTTAATTGTGCTGTGTCATCTTAGAAACTGTTCTGTTAATAGCATTTTAAGAAATACTTTCAATGGTAATATTCATAGGACATGTTCAAATGTAAGGTCTGCTTGATATGTTCCAATAAGCTCCCTAGAAATTATTCCTATTTAAAAGCTTTTTAGTTCCTGGATTCTTGAAAATGGCTCTGCATAATGTGTGTGTGTGAGGAAGAGAAGATTATTGTTTATTTTTAATAAAGTACTCTTAAATTTATCCTTTTAACCTATTAAAATATTAAGTTAAAATATCCTTCATTTTTTCTGTGGTTGTAAAAATTTCAGAAACTCATAGTCCCATAGCTATCCAAAGAAACTTGAATTCCCCTGATAAAGGCTGTCAGAGCACAGTGTCATCTCTGAGCAGCTCATTGACCTCCATAAATAAATACAATGCAGTGAACTCCCAGCACAAAAGTGGCACTGACAGATCAGATGCTGGAACTGACTCAGTGAACTTCAGCATATCTCCTGTTTCATTCAGTGTCTGATCACTGAGGAGACTTTGTCTTCCTGTAGTCATCAAAACTAAGGAACAAATCCCATCTTTTGTCCAATCATTTCCAATTTTGGAATAATAATTTTAAGTAGGTATATATTAAGTTACACAGAAGGATACATTTTTCAGTGTAACTTCATACTTACCCAGTAGGAAGTGTCATATTTACCTAGTAAAAATACCAAAATTTCTAAAACTACTATTTGGAAAACCAGTAGTCTTTAAAAAGATTCCATTTCTTTTCTCTACCTTTTTTTTAATGGTTTACCCTATTAAAACCACTCTCCATTCTCAGGAACTATCACATTCATATTTAGTAAGTTTAAAAATCTAAAAAACTATTTAAAAATGGCCATAAACAATAAAGTTTAGAACCATCAATGTCATTTAAATCTTAGGGGGAAATTTTTATTTTTATTTTTATTTTTATTTTTTGAGATGGAGTCTCGCTCTGTCGCCGAGGCTGGAGTGCAGTGGCGCTATCTCGGCTCACTGCAAGCCCCGCCTCCTGGGTTCACGCCATTCTCCTGCCTCAGCCTCCCGAGTAGCTGGGACTACAGGTGCTCGCCATCATGCCCGGCTAATTTTTTGTATTTTTAGAAGAGACGGGGTTAGCCAGGAGGGTCTCGATCTCCTGACCTCATGATCCACCCGCCTCGGCCTCCCAAAGTGCTGGGATTACAGTCGTGAGCCACCGCGCCCGGCCGAGAAATTTTTTTTTAATGAGTGTTTTTATTTCTAAACTAAAGAACTGTGGCAGAGATGTAGTAATTTCAAAGACCTCAAACCAACTCCCCGAATATTAGGACTTACTCTTGTGAGGACAAAATGGAAAAATCATACTGCATAATAAAAGGAATTGATACATTTTTAACAGTAATAAGAAAAGATGAGGATGATGATATTCATTATAATGACTTTAGTAATGCCTAACATTCATTACATGTTTTAGTTACCAGGTACTGTGCAAGAACTTCACATACATTATCTTATTTATTCTTTATAATAGCCCTGTGAAATAAGTGTTCTTATTATTCCCATTGTATAGTTGAGGAGACTGAGATTTAGAGGGTTTCACTAACATATTCAAGGTCAAGCCTGAAGTAGGAACAGCCATCTGACTTCCAAGCCTAGTAAAGCATGAAAACATGAACAACAACAATACCACAACAGCAACAACAACCAGCAATCTATGCCTGTGAGCATCAGGTAAACAGGGCCAAATATGGCCAGCCCATCCCTGTAGTCACCCATATATCTGTGGAGACCTACCACGCCTTAGGGTAGATGAGCAATATATGTGTGGTTTTAATACTGAACATCAGGTTGGTGACACTGACTTTTGTTAGCCCATCACTATTTGCTGATCCTTTGGGAGGTATCATTCAAGGATAGTTTTAAGAGCTGGAAGGTGAGGGACTCTCTCTTTTACCTGTCATTCTACACTTTCATCATGCCTTCACATTCAATAGCTGAAGTGCCACATTTAATCATCTCTTTATTATACCACCTCCATTTATAATTATTGATAATTATGACAGAATTAATTGGTTACCAAGCAATGAGAGTTTTTAAGACTGAATCAGTCATAGTATATATGAAATATATGTATTCCTTCTTTATGGAAACTCAGAATATTATTGTAGAATATTATTATTCTACAATATTATTTGTAGAATTAGGCACCTGCAGACTCTAAGTACAGGGATTTCTGCATATCGTAGGAACTCATTCTTCAATTGTTAATAATTAGCCTTCATTTTGGCTTAAATAGAAGCACAATATATATTTGCCATTACTAAAGCCTGAAAATAGCAAAACACTGTTATGCTTAGAGGCTTAGCACATGGGACATTTTTATGTATTAATACTTCCTCTGAGTTATGCCAGTAGGACTGTCTCAGAACTAATGAGACCTTGGCAAATGCCAAAAGAAAACAAACTCCTAACAGCTTGTAGACTCTGAAAATAGAATTTGAATAAAGACAAGTACAAATATGAAATATGAACATACTTAAGCTTATGAATAAATTAGATAATTCGTATTAGATATAATTTTTTTTTACCTAAGCCCTTAACATAGTGGTTTCTTTTCTACTCTAACAACTTGATTTTCTTTTCTAGGATTGGCGTGGGTGGGTTTGAAACATCCACAAACTTCAAGCCTTAAATATCTAGACCAGTTAAAACATTTTGGCAGTTAATATTGTATAGTTATATTGTAGCACATTTATTAGGAGCTATGGCCTGATCGATTTTTTCTTTTTTTTTTTTTTTTGTCTGTGTGACCTACTTATTTTCTCATCCACAAGATGTTGAGAATCCCTTCAACACTGAACTCTTCATGGGTTATTTTTGAACACTAATCATTGATTTCACTTATCTGGACCATAAATTTTAATTTTCTGGCCTGGAGTTTGGTTTTGACTGGGCACATTTCCAAGGAAATAATGAGTATTTGCTTAAACATGAAGCATCTGTGATTTTTCTTTTGCGATTCACTTATAGGAGAGCCCTGTTTATTAATAGCCTGGGGCAAGGGTTCTATGAAAGAGACAGAATGGATGGCTTTTCCTTTTTTACTTCCTGAGAAATGACAGATGGTATAACATAAACACCCAGTCTCTCACAAGATGTAATTTGAAAAGCCTTCCATTAAAAGTAGAAACTAGACACAGTGCACTTAAGGATAATCGACCTTGGATATAATCATCCTAACAAGCAACGAAACAAGCTCGCATCTCATCTCTGTCAATTATATGGGTGTCAGACACTTTTTCAAGTTCAAAGTAAAGTCTCTGTATTGTAAATATTTTAAATTTTTCTTTATATATATTATGATGTTTTTGACATCTTAAAAAGCTTTTCTGGTTGCAGAGAGCCTGTCTCTCCTGTGGCTTGTTAATTCTGAAAGATAAGAAAGCGTCCAGCCTGGAGCATGCCTTTCACATACCGATTAACCAGTCCAGTGCCATACCTCATCCATCTGACCTACACACCCCAGGAGGGGATATTCCTCTGCCTTAGTCATCCCAGGGCCAAGAGCCAGGAGCCAGGCAACCCACACAAATTATTCAAACTAGGCAATCCTAAACTGTTCACCCTGCCTTGCCTTGCCTTTCCCAAGAAAATACCCCAAAAGGCAGTAGTCTAAACTTTCCCTTTCTCCTGTCTTCTGCCTCCTGACCACCCTGGTGTCTTCTTTCCTGCGTGGCCCTGGGTGGCTTGCTGTGCCTCCTGTCTCTAGGATATGTAAGTTTAATACACTTTTCTTTTTTTTTCCTGAGGCTCTCCTCTGTCTCCTCTTGTGGCCATAAAAGAATATAAAACAGTCTCTGCGTAAATTCTTTGCTTTCTATAGAATCATAATGATTCTCACCAGTCTTGAGCTTGGCTCTCATTTCCAACTCCTTCTATAAATGGACAGTTTCCTCCCCACCAACTTATTCTCAGAAAGATACATGCCAGACTGATGAGAGTATCTATCTGTGGTGAGGGAAGAAAGGGCTAGAACTGATCTTCAGAGAGGGTTTTAGCTTTACCTGTTAACAATTTAATTTTTTATAAGATAGATGAAACAAATATTCATAACTAGATTAAAATTTGTATTTAATTCAAAACCCTAGATATTGCCTCTGCTCTAGGTTATCTACTCCTGGGCCCTAGTATTACTGTGACTTCTGTTTTTCCCAAGTGTTTTCCAATGTTTCCTATGTTACCACACACAGGTGTATCCTTAAAATCCTACCCCCTCTTTGGCTCCCATTGTGAGGTAATATTTTAGTGTATTTCCTTTGGGTCAAGAGTATGTATGAACACATATGTATTTACTTACATAGAAATGGAACCTTTGTCTGCTAAAGAAATATGTTAAACTTACTTGTTTTTGACTTCCAAGACTGCCCCCGCCTATATAATAGTAATTACATTTCTATGTTTAGCACTTTAGAGCCAAAAAAACACTTTTATTTTCCATCTCAATCCCCAAAATAGTTCACTAAGGTAAGTAGAGTCTACCTTCCAACCCCCATGCCAAGCTTCCTTGCTGCTTTCACTTCCTTTTCTTATAATATGGCAAACTACTTTTTCCTGATAAGCCACTACCTATAGTAGAATTATCCTGGTCACTTTCAACCTCTTATTTCTGTTTCCTCATTATTTACCATCTAGGCTGAAACGGATATTTGCAAGAGAAAATAATAATAGAAAATAAGCCTCCATTATAAGATGGCATTATTTGTATGAAGGGCCTGTTTATGGAAAGGACAATATATTAAAACAGTATTTTTACAATTTTTAAATATTTTAAAAAAGTAGATAGATTTAAGAATAGATTGAACATGTCATCTGCTGAGAAGCTAAGGAAGGACATGAGCATGTGTGTAGATTTCTGACATGAGAGTGGTAGAAAAGAGCATTTACAATAGCTAATTTGTCTGTTTTCTTTCTATCCCTTTCCCCCTTAAATTCATGTCATAATATGTCATAATGTTATCATCAAGATATTTACAAAATACAGACCTGATTTAAAAATATTGCCTTGATTAAAAACCTTTGCTGGATCACCATTACCTACCAAGTCAAATCTGAATCCCTTAGCCTGATGTATAGATTCTTTAAACACATGGTCCATCCGACCTTTCTAAGTCCATTTGTGCCCTCTGTACCAAAAACTCTATGTTCTAGTCATACAAAGTTGACAAAGTGACAAACAGCACCTAAACTCACCAGATGCTGCCAATCCTCCATGACTTTGCTCTCCCTGTACCCACTGACAAAGAATGCCCTGTGGCCACTTCTTCACTTGTTGAACTCTTACTCATCCTTCATGTCTACCTAAAATGTTCCTTCTAAGAACTCTCCATCCAGAATTAATACTAACTCATTAAAACAATATTATAAAATGCTTAGATGGACAAGGAGACATAGAAGAGTACAAGAGAATGCACAGGAGGCTGTTAATATTGAGTATAGTTATTTGGATTTTTATTTCTGCCAATGACCAAGGAATACTTTTTCTTTTCCCTGAGACCAGGTTTCCTTTTATTGCCCAGGCTGGAATGCAGTAGTAAAATCATAGCTCACTGCAGCCTCTAACTCCTGGGCTCAAACAATCCTCCTGCCTCAGCCTCCTGAGTAACTAGGACAACAGGTACATGCCAACATGCCCAGCTAATTATTTTGTTGTTGTTTTTTTTTTCACCATGTTGGCCAGGCTCGTCTTGAATTCTGACCCTCAAGCAATCCTCTCATTTCAGCCTCCCGAAGTGCTGAGATTATAGGCATGAGCCACTGCACCTGGCCAAGTAATACTTTTGAGGTATAAAAAATTAAAATGAGCTGGACATGGTGGCTCATGCCTGTAATCCCAGCACTTTGGGAGGCCGAGGCTGGAGGATCACTTCAGGCCTGGAGTTCGAGACCAGCCTGGCCAACATAGCGAAACCCCATCTGTACTAAAAATACAACAAATTAGCTGGGTGTGGTGGAATCCCAGCTACTTGGGAGGCTGAGGAATGAGAATCAATTGAACCCGGGAGGCAAAGGTTACTATAAGCCGAGATCTGTCTCAAAAAATATATATATATTAAAATGAAGATTTTAAAATAAAAGCAATAATTGATAAATACTTCTATGAATAAAACTATATTGATTTATAGTTTTATAAATATATAAATTTCCCTATAGTACAGGGAAATTCTATGATTTTTAGGCCCTTGGATACCTGGATTCTTATTCCTGAGCCACTAACAACTAGATGTGGAATCTTGGTGAAGTCAAAGTCTCTGAACTTAATAAGATTAGAATGTTAATAAATGAACTTTAAAGTTCCTTCCAGCACTAAAATTCTATGGATTTAATCACATATATGCTTCAATGAATATATTATCGCACTTCGCCTATCTGATTTTTATGATTTCAAAAGTTGTTAAAAGGAGTTAGTTTTGTAGTACTTCTTTGTCTATTTCTGGGGCAGGGGTGACCTCAAATATAAGCGCTATAGAAAACAAGACAGATAATTCAAAATATCACCCTTCTTCTATGTTTCCATGGTGGCTTTCGATACATACAACACAATATTTCTTAAGACGCTATAATTTCTTGGTTTGCATTTCTGGATTTTTCCTTTTATTTTTGAGATGGAGTTTCACTCTTGTCACCCAGACTGGAGTGCAATGGTGCAATCTTGCTTCACTGTAACCTCTACCTCCCAGGTGCAAGGGATTCTACTGCCTCAGCCTCCTGAGTCGCTGGGATTACAGGCACCTGCCACCATGCCGGGTTATTTTTTGCATTTTTAGTAGAGACGGGGTTTCACCATGTTGGCCAGGCTGGTCCCAAACTCCTGACCCCAGGTGATCCACCCACCTCGGCCTCCGAAAGTGCTGGGATTATAGGCATGAGCCACCGCATCTGGCCACATGTCTGTTTTCTTGTAGATTGTGAGCCCCCAGTGTGGGTGTAAGGGCAGGAAAAGCATCTCCCTGGTGCCACACACTGGCTTGACTACACAGTAGGTGATTAACAGTTCACTGAAGAGATGAATTGAAATAAAGGACATTTGTGTAAAAATATTCTCTTTGTTTTTGTTTTTAGAGATGGAGTCTCTGTCGCCCAGGCTGTAGTGCAGTGGTGCGATCTTGGCTCACTGCAACCTCCGCCTCCTGGGTTCTAGGGATTCTCCTGTCTCAGCTTCCTGAGGAGCTAGCTGGGGATTATGGTGTGCACCATCATACCTGGCTAATTTTTATTTTATTTATTTTTTTTTAGTAGAGATAGGGTTTTACCATGTTAGCCAGGCTAGCTTTGAACTCCTGACCTCAAGTGACCCGTCTACCTTGGCCTCCCAAAGTGCTGGGATTATAGGCATGAGCCACCACACCTGGCCTGTGTAAAAATATTCTGATCTAAGAGAAAAGGATCACTAATCTTGTGATTGATAACTTGAAATCTTGTCTTTTTTCTTTATAATTTAGATTAGAATTTTAATTGATCTGTGACATATTCAATAATCACAACAATTTTAGGAATTCTTGATAATTTTTACAAACTTTATTGGCTTTCAAGTTGTTGCCAAATTAATTTGACCATCAAGAAAAACAGAGCAGGTTTTATGCTAGTATGGGTCAAAAGCTTTTGTTCTTTCTGATTGCAATGCCTTCAGCCCACTCTGGGCGATGAGGCGGGAAGATGTGAAGAGCTCAACGTAGTTGTGGTCCATCTGCAGGGACTGGAGAACTCTTCTAGGAAAATCTCACCTGAAGTCCTTGTCTTAGTGAGGCTAGGCCAGGCCATGGAAAGAACTAGGGACCACCCCATTCTCACCATCGTCCTATATGCCATCTGAATTAAACACACACTCTCCATCCAAGGAAAAGCAAAGAAAAGTGACAAAGGGCCCATGGATTTAATTCCAACTATAAACGATGGTGTTTCCTTGCCCTCTGTGGTGATGGTCTTTCTGCTGCCCAGTGGGTCTAAGAGTAGCCACTGGCTCAAAGGCATTCTAACAGCAGTGCCCTAAAACCAACATCCTTGAACCTCTCATAGAAAACAAGAAGTGATCTGAGTATTATTTATGTATGCCTTCCTCATAGAGATTTGCAACAAATTTTAAGCATTTATAAATAGAAATATTAGGAATTTTTAAAAATGAGATTGCTAAACAAAAATACATTTCAAATAACAATAAAAGTAAAATATAATTATTAAAGAGCATACCGCAGTACCCTGGGGTTCCACATACTGTCTTCATGAGCACTTGATGTTCCACAATTTTAGAGAGTCCAAAATCAGCTAATAACACAAGAAAAAAATTTAATGAAGCACGTCTTCTCAGCTTTTATGACAAAATATTTGTTATTCAAAAATAAAACTAACTTATTTATCTATTTGCTTTCTTTTGTATTTGATGATGGGGTGAAGGTGGGTGGGAACAAGTCACCCAACAGGAAGCTAAAGAAAACAATCCATGTGTTTCTTTAAATTGGAGAAAAATATGACTTCCAAATACATTTACAAATAAATCTATATTTAATCTTTGTTCTTCTGTACAATTCCCCGCTTTCAGCAAATAAGCAATTTTTTTCTTTCTTTCTTGTTTTTGTTTGTTTGTTTGTTTAGATAGAATCTTGCTCTGTTGCCTAGGCTGGAGTGCAGTGGCGTGATCTCGGCTTACTGTAACCTCTGCCTCCCGGGTTCAAGCAATTCTCTGACTCAGCCTCCCAAGTAGCTGGGATTACAGGCACGTGCCACCACACCCGGCTAATTTTTTTGTATTTTTAGTAGAGACGGAGTTTCACCGTGTTAGCCAGGATGGTCTCGATCTCCTGACCTCGTGATCCACCCACCTCAGTCCCAAAGTGCTGGGATTACAGGTGTGAGCCCCCGCGCCCAGCCAAGCTATTTTTTCTTAAAGTAATAGTTGCAATAGTTATATTTTGTCTAATGTTGTTACTTCTGAAATTTATGTAACAGTAACTCTAAGGGACAATACAGAATTAATGATATAATCCAGAATCTTCAATTTATTGACAGAGAGGAGAAAAAAAATAGACTTTCATCAGTGACACGAGAATTAACAGAAACATCAAAAGGTTTGTTCAGCTTGAAAATACATTCAGTCTCCAATGTATTTCACTTATAAGAATTTACTCTCATAAGAAGACTATAAGATTTTTTTGGTAAGAATCCTTTTTATTTATTTCTCAGAATATTACCTAGGTAAAAGATTATCGAAAGTTGCTACCATTATGAACTATTTGCTGAGCTATATCGCTTGCACTCAGGAAACATCAGGAAACCATTCAAGGGCATTCTTCAAGAGAGGCAGGTGCAGAATGAATTCCATTTTAGACTTCAAAGATAAACCCACATTTCCTGGCAGGTGCCTGATCCTTATCAGTGGAAGCAGCAGGAAGCCCTTCAGAAAGAAAACCTCTCCTGCCTAAATTAGTATCTATCCATCCATTTAAAGAAATTGCTTTAAGGATTAAATCTTTGAAAGTGATGTGAAAGGAAATGGAAACTGCCTGCTGTCCCCTGCCTTACAGGAGTGATTATGAGAACAAGCTGGCTGCCCAGCAGGACTTTCAGGATTTTTTCCTTAGGTTCTTGCATTCATAAAGCACATTATGTTATCTGAGCTCTTCCCTGATATGAACAACTTAATTGTTAAAGGTGTTAACATCTGTAAATGCAGTGAACTTCGCAGATTAGCACGATAAGGAAGGCACCAGAAGAGCAATGCCCTTCAGAGGATTTAATGAAGATTCCACTAGTGAGAATTCATCGAAAATAAAGTTTACAATATTTTTTGAAATGAAGATTTGCTTTGGAAGATACTTGGAAAGTAACATTTATTTTTTTCTAAAGTGCTAATTAAAGGTTTCTTTGGGTAGATCAGAATTTCCCAAAGTTCACCTTTATAGTTTTTCAAAATGCTTATTGGTAAAAATTTTAAAAAAGTCTCATAGAATATGATATAATATGTAAATTTATATGTTAACAGGTTAAAGGTTCTGGAAAGTCCTACAGAAATACAAATCTTGTTTAACTTTTTTAAAGTTGGCATTTCCTAACTTAGTTGATCAGCCATAGCATTTCTGTGAATCACTCCCATCCTCATCTACCCTGCTGAGAAACCAGTGTTCTATGGAGTGCATTTTGGGAAAGGCAGATCTTAATTTATCTCTGTTCATATAAACAAGCGACTCAAAGCCTAGACTCACTAATATGTGCTAAATATTTTATGTCAAAGTTCTTTATTACCTAAAATTAAGCTCCAAGCAATCTGTGGAATAAAAGTTAATATCTCCAAAAGATGTGTTACTTTTTCTATCATTTTGTTCACTATAAACTTATTTACAAAATACAAGGTCATCTCCTGTGGTCCTTGCCATTTCTAAGCTGTGATTCCTTTGTGTGCCCAGCAACAGAATACTAACTTCTAAGCAATATTTTCCAAATAAACATTCCAGGAAAGAGCAAAAACTTCCAAAACAACATATTATTTCCTTTACAGATGTCAATTATTCAGGAAAACTGAATGGATGTAAAACTGGATGGAGCAATATTTAAAAATTCCACACAGTAAAATTTTTTCTGCTCTGAAAAAAGGGGTCACAAAACAAGAAGAAATGTTCTCACCGATTTTGAGTGGTGCATCTGGGGCTGGAGTTGCATAAAGAAGATTCTCTGGTTTGAGATCACGATGGACAATCCCATTTTCATGTAGATACTAAAGAGGGAAAATAATGAAATAACATTTGTGTAATGCTATTTATGGTTCGAATGTCTATACTTAATCTTTTAAGAACTATAAGTTATGTGATTCAAGAACACACATAGTATGACTTAACAATAAGTACCATAAAGGAAAATCTGTTTTAAACTGTATACATTAAATAATACTTTATAAATAGTTACCTAAATGTGATGCAATTTAAATTGTATAGAATCTATTCCCAGAATGAAATATTTACTCCTCAGCTAATATTAGTTACAATTCTCTTTATGCATATTACTATATCAACTGGAATTAGCTAATTACTATAATGATGTCAAGGTGCTGTGTACTGAAATTTGTCTGGCTTATTATCTAAAAAGCGTAATTGGATGTGTGATCTTATAAACCTGTATAGCAAAGACTTCATAATTATTGTCTGAGCAGACATATAGATGTGAGTATTTTAGACATATAGATGTGAGTTATTATAGAGAACTATCCTTAACAAGACAAATACTGTTTGATAATGATGGATGCACTCATAGGCTCTTCTGAGAATTAGTAAATCTAACTGTCAATATAGATGTTGAAAGCTGTATTTGAGATGAATCTCAAAGATCACATCTAGCAACTCTGCTCATTTTATTGTACTTTAAATTATTTTGTAAAATCACGTATAAGCATACATGCAACATATTCTCATTGTAAATGCTGAAGTCCTACCTGATTTCCCTTCCCCCAGATCCAGTTCCAGTCCCCTCTTCAAAAGTAATCCCTCATCAGTTTGAAACGTTTTTTCCCAAAAAGTTTGTTTGAACATTTTTTCTATGCATTTACAAACGAGTCTATATACACTGGGCTAGATTCACTAATGCATAGAAAAAGCATTCTAGGCATTAGTGAATCTAGGTTCTGAGTCACTTGTTTATATGAACAGATTTCTTTACATATATCAAATATTCAGGACATCTGTATATTACACTGGCTCATGACCGTAATACCAGCAATTCGGTGGGCCGAGGTGGAAGGATCGTTTGAGTCCAGGAGTTCGAGACCAGTGTGGGCAACATAACAAGAGCCCATCTCTATGAAAAATTTTAAAAAGCCAGGGATGGTGGTGCATGCCTTGTAGTTCTAGCTACTCTGGAGGCTGAGGTGGGAGGATCACTTGAGCCCAGGAGGTTAAGACTTCAGTGAGCCATGATCATGCCACTGCACTCCAGCCTGGGTGATAGAGCAAGACCCTGTCTCAAAAGAAAACAAAAACAAAAACAAAAAACCAAACCAAAAAAAAAGACTACATATGTATATACACAAGGTAATATCCCTGGTTTCCTCCATTTTCCTACTTATATATATCATTAATACAATTTTTAGGTGGCTTTTTTTCTGCTTAACAAAATATCTTTGAAGGCTTACCTTCGTATCAGTTTAGTGTATTCTATTGAATTCTTGCATCTTTTATTATAATTAATTTACTTATTCATTTTTAATGGACATTCAAGTTGTTTTCAATTTTTAAAAAGTTACAAGTAATACAATATAAACATTCCAGCACTTGAATATTTGAGTGTTTCTGCTGGTATTTTTCTAGGACAGATACCTGGAAGCAGGTGCAGTTGTGGAGTCAAGGCATACAGCATTTTTATTTTAATACACACTTCAAAATCACTTTCCTAAAAGCCTCCATCAATTTTCACTCACACAAACAATGTATGCATATATGTTAATATCTTTGCTAAATCTGTAGTTTTAACTTTTGCTGAGCTGGAGTGCAAAGATTGTGTCTTAAGTTTGGTTTAATTTGCCTTTCTCTGTTCACTAGCATAGTTGAGCTTCTCGGTCAATCAGTTTTCCTCTTCCATGAATTTCCTGTTCATAACATTTGCCCATGTTTCTGTTGGTTTAAGAGAAAAAGTTTCCAGTGTGCTATACTCTCTCTCGTTTCCTACCTCATGTGGGAAGGCAAGGAGTCTTTTATACTTAAGCCAAGTAAGGGGGGTTGGGGAGGTACAGTTTCAAGATGGCTTCGTGATTTGGGGAAACAGATAACTGGCTCATGCATGAAAATGGAAAGAAGAGTGGATAGTTGCAGCAAGAGAATGCAGAGAGGGCCTCAGGGAGATTCAGCTACTCTCAAATAATAGCTGGATGTACATTTCTCATGGGCCCAGTGTGGATTCTGCAGGAAGGAATTAGACATGAGTCTCCATGAAGAAACTCTTCATGGGAGTGTTTCCTGCCAGGGGATACCACCTTAGCATCACAGAAAGCAGAGTGTGAGGGTTGTGACAGTGGCACCTGAGGCTCTTACATGTTTTAAACACTTACTGTATTTTAAGCTCTATTTTAAATACCTTATACCTGTTGACTCATTTAATCTTCACAACAGCTCTAACCAGTAAGTCGTCTAATATTTGTTTTCCAAATGAAGAAACTGAGGCACAAAGAGGCTACGAAATCTGTACAGTATCACAACTACACACTAGAGTTGGGATTCAGACTCAGGCATCTGGCTGTAGAGCACATACGTCTTGCCTATTACATAATTCCCAAGGAGATGCTCAATGAACATTTGTTACTTGATTGATTAAGGTGAGGGAACAAAAGAAAAATAACAACGAAGGAAAAGAGGGGAGGATACTGGAAAGGAAGGTAATGAAGGTAGGAAGAGAAATGAGAGAATGACAGAGGAGCATGCTCGACCACGAATGATACCCAGGGAAAACATGCGGTGTCCCCAAGAAGGAAGATACTGTATCTTGATATAAGCTGAGTTTGAAGGGGAAGATAGATAGAATATCTCATATAGTACCTTTGGAACATATCTAAGAATTGCATAGTTTGGGACTAACGGAACATATTGATTTTTCCCCCTAATCTTACCCAATTTAGAAACTCCATTGTGTTGAGAAGAAAATGACGCTAAACATAGGAACACAGTAACAAAGACAAATGAAATGACCTGGTAAGTTTTGTTTAGCAAAGAACTAATTATATGAAGATCCTCACTAAATGTTGTTCTGGCTTTCTTGAAACGAAAAGGTGGTTGCGTTCTAAGTGCAAGTTAAACAACAGCAACAAAAACAACAAAAAAGAAAACATCATTTGGCACTCCATAAAGGAGAACTAGACTAGATAAAGGAAGGAAAGTTTAGAGAAAAATACTAGAACGAGGAGCTATACACTACCAAAGGAACAAGCTTTAAAACAAAACAAAGCAATTAAATGCTAAAGGTCATGATCTTGGCTTTTAAAAAGACATGCAGAGATGATTTGCTAAACATTACTTGGTGTAGAAAGATTATCAAAAGTCATGATATATTCATATATATATACTATATATATAGTATATATATAGTATATATAGTATATATATATAGTGTGTGTGTGTGTGTGTGTGTGTGTGTGTGTGTGTATATATATATATATATATATATATATATATATATATGGTAGGGGGAGGCATTTAAATATATCTGACTGATAAAATGTCAGGAGTCACTATTTCATTTTTGTTTACATCCCCTGATAAACTTTGACCAATAGAATTTCTAACCTTTACATTATCTCAAGTCAGGAAGACAGGTAGAAGGAAAATGTGAAGTATGATTTTTCTTTTCCCAAAAAGATACAAACATTAGAAAGATCAACACTCTTTTAGAGCACATGTTCTCAAACTTTTTGGTCTCAGTAACCCTTTATATTCAAAAAAAATGTTGGAAACCCCAAAGAGTTTTTGTTTATGTGAGTTACATCAAGCAAGACTTACTGTATTACTAGTTAAAATGAAAATTAAATTAATAAATTAAAATGCCTATTAATTTTGAAAAAGCAATAAGCTCATGACATTGCTTATTAAAATATTTAAAAATATAACTGAAAATATTAAATATATTAATATTATGTTAATAAGATATATAATATTTATATTTTAAAATTTGTTAAAATATACTACATTCTAAAATAAAAATAACTGTATTTTCTAAAACAAAAAATTAGTAGAGTGCTAGTCTTTCAGTTTTGTAAATTTCATTAATTTCTGGCTTAACAGAAAACAGCTAGACTTTCATATTTGCTTCTGCATTGTCTGGTATAAAATCACACACCATGTAGCCTCTGGAAAATTCCACTGTATGTATGTGTGTGTGTGTATATATATATATATATATATATATATGTTTTGGTTTTTTGTTTGTTTGTTTTTGAGACGCAGTCTGTCGCCCAGGCTGGAGTGCAGTGGTGCGATCTTGGCTTACTGCAATTTCCACCTCCCTGGTTCAAGCGATTCTTCTGCCTCAGCCTTCCGAGTGCCTGGGACAACAGGCACGCGCCACCATGCCCAGCTAATTTTCTTTGTATTTTTAGTAGAGACAGGGTTTCACCATGTTGGCCAGCTTGGTCTCTAACCCCTGATCTCGGGTGATCCACCTGCCTCGGCCTCCCCAAGTGCTGGGATTATAGGCATGAGCCACAGCACCTGACTGAGATGCCTTCATATTATGATAAAATGATTTTGACATCACAGAACCCCCTAACAGGATATCAGGATCCTCCAGGGATGCCTAGCCTAGACTAGACTTTGAAAACTGCTATCTTGGAGCATCTGAAGACATAAAAAGATCAATTTAAAGAGCTGAATAATAGGCAGGCTTCCCTTTATTTTAAAACTGATTTTTAAATGAAATACACACTTCTAATATCATCAACACTAATCTCATTACTTCACAATCACCGTACATAGAGACGAGGAAAAGAAAATAAAGAATAAAACATGCTGCTAAAGATTGTGTGGTCATGGGAAAATGTGCAAAGATATTTTATGATATCATATTAATGCTATCTATAGAGCTGACAAAGAAATACCTAATCATGGAGAAACATATCTTACCAAGATATTGTTGATTTTAGCTACAGATTATGTAAATCATGGGGATTAACATAAATAGATAAATGCACTAGAAAGAATAAAAACATGGTAACTGGGTATTCTAGAATAAACCATGTGTTCAATGTAATCATAATTAAAGTAAAGCAAAGACATGCAAGAAAACAGAAAAAAACAAACCATAAACTGGGGAGAAGAACTGGGGAGAAGATTTTTAAAATCTGCTATGTCAGTCTAACAATTTAATGGAGACAGAAACAACAAATCTGACAATTGTAGCACCCTACTTCTAAAGGTTATCTTGACAAATGCTAACCTTTAATAAAGAAATTACAAAAGCAAATAACCAGGGGTATACAAGTTAATGAAAACTTTAAGGAATAAAAATAAGGAAGAGGAGGAAAAGAAATAGTAGGAGTCAGGGATGCACAATTAATTTATTGGCTCATATTTTAAGTGTGTTATATTTTTAAAAAGCATAAGACAGAAATATAATTTTATCTGCAGAGTAGTTGAGAGAGACTAACATATTTTTAATATATATTATAAAATAAATGCAATATTTGCTGCCAAAGGCATATCTCTGCTAAGTTCTGTTTAAATATCTTGCCCTCAGTCTTGATCATGGGTTGACAGAAATACGTATATTGAGATTTTTTTTGCATTGTTTCTGAAACAATTATTAAAGAAAGACTTCATGAGTGGTGCTTTGGGGTAATATGCCCAAAGTATATCATTTGTTAGCTATGTGACCTTAAGCAATTTATCTGTCCTCTAAGCCTCGGTTTTCTCATCTGCAACGCCCACTTTGCAGATTGTAGTGGGAATTAGAAATGAGGTGTGTAATTACTTAGTATGTTATGAGCATGTAGTAGATATTCTATGTGTAAATGGTAGCTATTCGGACTCTATCCTTGCTATTTCACATCCTTTGTAAAATACATCACATTGAGCAATCCTTTGAGACTTGGAAAACTTGCTCTTTTCTAAAGTTTCAAAGGATACTTTGATCAGAAAATACTTGCTTTATAATTCATATTTTTTCCTTCTGTTTTGCTGCCAAAAATCTCAGTGAAAAAGAGGTTTCAATTACAGTAAATAGCTGAGTTTGGATATGTTTACCTCTTCCTTCCTCTACCTGGCTTTTGATTCCTTTTTCTAATTTAATAGAAATTTTGTATGCATTTTTCATTTAATTTGCCACAAATCTTCTACCCAAGATGATGCAATATAACTTATAAATAGAATATGTCATATTTATGTCTTTCTTCACTCTTGAAAAAGGTCTCAGTGAAATGTGTACTGAATTTTCTCTGTATGTGTTTATAGTTTACAGTAAGAAAGTTTAGGTGTTAGAAAAGAAACAGTTTGTGGTGACTAGGATTTGAAACATTCTTACTATAGTTTTGTCAACTACGTAACAAAAAATTTCTAAAATAAATAATATTTGTCATTGATAAACAGTTGCACTTCCAGTCCTGTTACTTTGTTTATGCTCAGTTCTCCTGGGATTTTCTGTAGTTCTTCCAGAGCCATCCCTTAGTGCTGCTTGGATCTCATCCCATGCCCTCCTGACTCCTGAGTCAAGGTCCATGTCTCCTGCCTTCTCTTTACCTCTTCCTCTCCATTTCCTCTTTGTTCCCTTGCATCACATTAGTATGCTCTAGACTAGGAGCTATGGTCCTCAAAGAGAAATAAGAAAAAGAAAGCAACCACTACCTCCATATTCTCTCAAACCCACATATTCCCAGCTTTCTCTGGCTATACTCAATTATTTCCTATTCTAGTCAGCCAATTTCCTGAAAATGTAGTCTCCCTTCATTTTTGTTTCTTTAACACACTATAATCTTATTTTTGTCCTATCAAACCCAATACCCTGTTCTGACTCATTTTTCTCAACCCAAAGACATCTGACTACATTGGCTAGTCTCTCCTTCAGACTCTCATAGGCCAGTGTTCCTGGCATCAGCAGCCTGGCTTTCCTGACTCCTCTGTTCTTTCAGCCTCCTTCCCTGGCTCCAGGTCTTCCACTTGCTTAGGACCCTCTGCTTTTTCTGTGTTTCCAGGGTGAGCTCATCCAAACCACAAATTGAGTTACCCCTTATTCCACTGTGTCCCAAATCTCTATTGCCTGCCTATACTTCCCTGTAGCTCTGGACTCCATTCAACTTTCTACTTTACATTCCATTGGAATGTTTCATTGGTGCTCCAGTCTCAACATTTCTAAAACTAAACTCATAGTTTACCCTAAGTCTGCTTCTTCTGTACCTGTATTCCCAATCCCTACAAATGATACGATCCAATTGACCAAGCCAGAAACCTGAATTTATCCTATTCCTTCATCTCCTTTATTTGACACACCCAATCTGTGTTGATGTGTAGGCTCTCCCTCCTTAGTGGCTTGTGTATCCCCACCTCCTTTCCCTGCTTACTGCCCTTGCCTCCAGCCAGGCCACTAGCATGCTTTCCCTCTTAATTACTCTAATAACCAGCTTAGCTGTCAGCTTCCCAATTTCCAGCATTAACCTCCTCCAGTCCCTGCTTCGCACTGCCACAAGAGTAGAAAGATCTAGATATGGCACTCCCCTGCTTATAACCTTCAGCATCTTTCCAAAGTTTCCAGCATGCAGGGCAGCAGCAATGTTGTGTTTGATTGTGTAGCTCTTGAGTAGGGATCACAAACTCTCGAGGGGCGAGGAAGATACCCTAAAAGAATGAAGGAGGTAGGCATGGAGTAAAATAAAAGGGAGACATTGGAAAGTTGTAGGGACTGTGCCTGTTTGTGGAGAGAGCATGACCCTTTAAGAGGCAAAGGCTACTCCGGTTCAGCCAACTGTGGTCAGGTGGGATGCAGACCCCAGGTTGTTAGCTCTTCTGATTTTTCAAGGCGAGGCAGAAATTAAGATTCTTTTGATGTAAAATATTCCAAATTTTAAATGTTGGCAACTAAGTTGAAAAATGTTAAATCCTGCACAGGCCAAACAAAATACTGCAGTCTGTAATTTTGCTTTAAAGTTTAAAAGGGAGCTGGGCACTCAGTAGATGCCCAATAAACATTTGTTAAGTGTATGAATAAATAAATGATTATTTTTCTGACTCCACTTCCTAAATTGAACATTTACAGTGTTTGTTCTCCTAGTCTTCTTTTTTGCTGTAAACTCTTTGAGCACATTTGTCTACTCTTTCCTTCTGCTACTTTTTATAGCATAAAGGAGTATACATGAATGTAAAAAATTATGATTAATCTTAAATTTTTTATATAAAATTTAACTATAACACTTACGGATTACTTGGATAATTTTTTACAATAAATTTTCTCTAAGTGGCAGGCATTTCATATATTTGTTAATCCTGAATACCACATGTTTGCTACAAATGATGTGATTTGAATATGACAGATACAGGGTACATTTAGCTGGCAACTATATCTATTCTCACATTAACTAAACATACTACGTAATTACATTGCTAGCGGTTTGAGAATTAAAGGTCATTCCATGACAGTATCTTAAAAGGATTTCCAATTCAATGTTGTTTCTTAAGCTCCAAGATCATTTATCCAACTGCCTTGTCTCATTTTCAGTTGGATATCTTGTGGGCACGTTAACTTTATCATGTCCATAGCAGCACTCTCGACCTCCCTGCCCTCTTCCAATTTCTTCCACCTGAAAACGTAATCTCTCCATCAACTTAAGTGTTCAAGTCAAAAATTGACTTTCTCTCCCTCGCCATCTACATCCAATTCACAATTAAGTTCTTTCAACTTTAATTCCAAAATGTCTCCAGAATGGCCCTGTCTCTTTCATGAGCAGTACTCCAGCTGGATGGCCATAGCAGCCCCTTTAATACTTGCTTTGATTTTCAGCATGCCACTTTACACACTACTCTTTACATAAAGCACAGGGAATCAGGCCATTTCTTCTCCTTGTGAAAGTCTTCAATGGTTTTCCACGACTTTATCCTGGCCTTCAAGGTCTTGGTGATCTGGTTCCTATGCTCCTCTCCAGCCTCATATTCTGTCACTCTCCCCTCTCTTGTTCTGTTCTCTGATACAGATTTTCTCTCAGTTTTTCAAAATCCTTCATCTCTTTCTCACCTCTGGCTGTTCCCTGCCTGAGCCCTTTCACACTTCTTCATCTGGCCAGCTCTCCTCATCCTCAGGACTTAGCTATAATGTCACTTCCTCAGGGAAACTGTACCTATCCTTCCAAAGTAACATATGTGTCAGCTCTTATATCCTCTCATTGATGCTGCCTATTTTTCTTTACAGCATGTATGTTTCTTTGCAGGCTTTCCATTCAGGATGCCTCCTCCACTGGACTGAGAACTCCATAGAGACAAAGAATCCCCAGATACTACATTTCCTTCACAGAGCCTAACACTAACTATGCATTCAGTAAACGCTTTTGAATGATTAATAAATAACTCAATTTTCCTATAGATGCACATATTGTTCTACTTTTTAAATCACAAACTTATAGTCAAAAGGTGATAGTAATCTAGACCTTTTATTCATTTGTTGTTATTCATTTGTAATAGAAGTTAAAATATTAAAATAGAAAATGCTGTGCTTACATCGTGGCAATCTATGTCCACAGCAATGCCACTTCATCATCTTTAGCAGAAGCATGGCTCTTAGCATCTTTGCACTTATTAAACATATACTATTCTTGGTAGATAATAATACTTAGTCACCTCAGTGGTGCTTATTGAGTATTAGTGAGATAAATGAGATTTACCTTGTCACTTTGAGAAAGGCCAAAAACCGATAAGAATATTTTAACTGCGAGATCAGAAGAAAGAATTTCATCTTCCAAATGACATTTTAAACCATTACCTAATTCATTTTTGTTCTATAGTAGCATTATGTTGGTAGTTATAGCTGAATTAATTTCTTCACATGCTTTGAAGTTGATCTGAATATTCAATACAGCGTTGCCTCAGGGGAGTTTGGGGAAAGACTGTTGAAAATTCAGCTGTTAGTTTTCTCTTCAGTACCCTTTGTGTCTGAAACTTTTCATAAATTGTACTGGTCAGTGTATTAAAGCGAAACTGATGTGTTGACTTAAAAATCAAGTGGCTAAAGAAGTAGTGATGTACCTAGCTGTAATAATACACTAGGGAGAAGTGGGCAAGTTCAAAGGCATCTGTTAATAAATGAAGGCATCCTGTTAGACTCCAGTAGTGAGAATGAAGATGGCCAAGGTTGCTGCTGGCCCTGCAGTTGAGGTTTATGTGTGTGCTTTGTTGCTTTAGGATTTGGGTATGGCCCAGAAGTCTCAGAATGAAGCATCATTTTGCTGGAAAATACTTGCTGGGATGGCAATGTCATAGGGGAAAAGAACAGGATGCTGGTAGAAAGATAATGATGAAAGCCTCTGGGTAGGGAATCCAGGGGTGTCAGGTTAGAGTAGTAGACAAGAGAAGAGGTCACAAAGAACACACTGACAGTGGCATGAGTCTCCTCTACATACTAAGTCAGAGTGGAGAAACATGGATATTTTCATTGGATTAGAAATTTATTTTCCTGTCTATTTATACATATGCATGCCATAGAACTATATTAAGTACGTATTTCTAAGATAAACTATATGGCACTGGTGGAAAATGTCATTTTGCCTACATTACTTTTCTTAGATTCAATTCAAAACCTGAAATCCTTACTCAATTAAGATTTTAATGAAACACTTATCTTTGTTTTCAGTAGCAATCCTTATTAAGTGAATGGTTATTATTTTTAATTAGATATTATGCAAAAAAATGAACAGAAAAAGCTAGGTGTCTAGATATAAACAGACAAATTTCATGCTGACAGGATAAAAGTATATAAAGAAAACTGGAACAATTTATGTGCAATCTACAAATCAGCATATAATATTTATTTGTATATAAGGTTAGAACAAGTATATGTTGTGAGGCAACTGAGAAGATGTTGAGATTAAGAGGATAAACATGATTATGACATTCTCTAATTTCCACTGTATGTGCCCATGTTTCAGAAAAGGTGAGAATTTAGGAATGGAGGCTATGGAAAGGTTTGGCTAATGAAATAAAGGTGGTATTCAGGAAAAACTTCAAAGCTTGGGAAAAGGTTCAAAAATGATCTACAATTAAGGAGAAAGAAGCAGCAAGCAAATTTTTGTAATGGGAAAGAAGAGATTAGATTGGAGCACAAAAGTAAAAAGGGAAGCTCCTGAGTCTGCACACTCTGGCCAAGCAGAACCTGGGGATCTTGACCTTGGCCCTACAGACAGGCTGAACTGTTTGCATTGTCCAGAGAAGCTGATTGGGCAGGACTGAGGATGAATGAAGAAATTACTCCATCCTCAGGCAAAGAGGTGAGCTCTTTCACTAGGATGAGGAAGCTGAAAATATCATTATGAAAGATGGCTGTGCTTTAGATGACAGTATATACTTTATATATTAAATAATATTAAAAAATAAGAGTAGATATTTGGAATGTACTGGAGAAAGAAAAGAGTTTTGGGATGCAAGTAAAAGGTATGTCAAACATGACAAAGAGTGAAAATTTGTAGTTTTTCCTTGGAAAAATTTACATTCACCAATGTATAAATGATTCCTAAAGCAAATATGCATTAAAGTAGAATGAGGAATTAAAAAATATAAAAGCTCCAATCTTACCTTACCATTTAGTCTTTAAAAAAATGCAATAACCAAAATCTCAAATTCCCTTTTAAAAGAGACAAAGACTGCTGCTCTGAATTCAGGGGGTGTCTAGACATGTAATTAAACTCTCTCTACGGTCTAACAAAAACTGTTTCATTGTGTAATGAAAGCTACTGCATAGTAATTTAGTTTAATTACAGCTATGCTGTGTTCAATGGGCTGTGTGTGGTTAATTGATAATGTCTCAGGAGTTGGTAGGAGGAAGTTTGAATCTCTTTAAAAATCTAACAGGACAAAGAAGAAACAGTCATTACAGAAAGAAAACAGTATTCTGACCACAGTTTTCTTGATGGAAAGAAAAATTAAACTACATGAATTTACTCTTTTCTACTCAAAAAAATTAGAGTGAGTACACATAAATTTAAGTAGGAACTTCAAAGTGAATACCCTATTTTGGTGTCATGTCTGCTTTGGAGACCTAGTAGGTACTACCATCGTCTTTATCATTGACCTCTACTCTGTGATGCCTTAAGAATCATCAACAGAATATACGAGAAAGCAATAAGGAACTACTATCTCCCATGACCAGCTCAACAGGCCTGGTTAGGACTGTCTGGCTGTGAAATCTGTGCTAAGCCATGATCCATGGAGCATCCCAGGACCAGAAGAATCTATTTCGGGCAAAGTAGCCAAGCTTCGGGGCCCCTGAGACATTCTTACTTGTTTTGGAGTCATCCTTAATGCCTCCTTTTTCCTCACCGGCCTTGGCCAATCAGTCATAATCCTACCTCCAAAATATGTCTCATATCTATTTGTTCTTCCCATTTACATTGTCACTACTTAGTAAGGCCCTTCATATTCTCTAGTGGCTCTATTTTTTTTTTTTTTTTTGAGACAGAGTCTCGTTATGTAGCCAGGCTACAGTGCAGTGGCGCGATCTTGGCTCACTGCAACCTCCGCCTCCCAGATTCAAGCGATTCTCCTGCCTCAGCCTTCCGAGTAGTTGGGACTACAGGAGCACGCCACCATGTCCAGCTATTTTTGTATTTTTAGTAGAGACGGGGTTTCACCATGTTGGCCAGAATGGTCTAAATCTCTTGATCTTGTGATCCGCCTGCTCGGCCTCCCAAAGTGCTGGAATTACAGGCATGAGCCACCGCGCAAGGCCAGCACTATTACATTTGTCTTTTAAGCACCCCCATATATCCAAACACCAGGTCATCTTTCTAAATCACAAATTAACTCATGTCAATCATTGATTTAAAAACAAAACAAGTCACTTGAAATCACTAGCTATAAGCTTAAGTCTAATTTCTCCATTATAAGAATTAAAGGCCCTTCAAAATTTGTCCCCAATTTGTGGCTGTGCGTCATCCTGGGACAATTCTTGCCATGCCCTAGCCACACAGCCTTACTTACTATTCCTAAGCCATGCTGTACACATTTCTACTTGGTTTCCAGAGGGTAAATCTTTCATGTACTTAATAATGATTTTTTAAAAATGTATTTTATAGAGATTCTTGAAAGAGGATTACTCATCCCACATGCTCCTCCAGAATCTTACCACTTCCCCATCCAGAGGTGGAGTCTAATTTTCCTTCCTTTCGTTCTGGGTAGGATTGTAACTTGTTAGTGGCCAACAGAATGCAGGGGAAATAATGATGTGTGATTTCCAAGGTTAGGTCTTGATAGTCAATACAGCTTCTATCTTGTTTGCTAGATATTCATTTCTGGGTCCCTGAGCTGTCCTGTAAAATGCATGACTATCCTAAGACTATCATGCTGCAAGAAAACTGGGCAACATAGTTTCATCAAGTGTAGTGCTTGTGCTCCAATCAGCAGTCCCTGCTGAGATTCCATGTGACAGACATTATCAACTTCCAGATGTGTGAATGAATACAACTCTAGATTACTCCTTCCTCAGTCATCAAGCCCTTTTAAACCTTTGAGTCTTGTTGGCTTAGACTCTAGATGTTATGGAGCAGTCCTGACCCAAAGAATATATGAATATAAGACAGTGGTTGTTTTAACATGGGAAACAGGATAATCTGTGAACATATCAGCAGTGACTGGAACACTTTATAACCCAGATTAATACCATCTTCTCTGTGAAATCTTCCTCTAGTCTCATAAGCAAAATGAATCATTTTCTCTGCCTCCCATGACATTCTTTTTATCCATAGTCAAATATTTTAATGCTGTCATCATATTTGTGTGCTTGCCTATCAAAGTAAAAATACACTCCTTGAAAGCAGGATTTGTCTTATTCATCTCTGTACTCTTAGAATCTAGGCACAGGACATGGTATTTAGTAGGTTTTTGACAAATGTTTATAAAAATAATATATGAAAGGAGTGAATGAATGACTGGAATTATGAGCTAAATGAGTATCTCTGGTATATATCAACAAATAGACACAAAATACCAAGGAATGGCTAGAATTTGCTCTGAAGTCTAGCACATATTTGTGCTTAATAAATGTTTCTTAAATACATAAATGTATATATATATATATATATACACACACATATATACATATATATATGTATATATATATATACACACACATATATATGAGGTACATGAGATGTTTTGATACAAGCATGCAATGTGAAGTAAATACACCATGGAGAATGGGGGTATCTATCCCCTCAAGCATTTATCCTTTGAGTTACAAATAACTGAATTAGTTATTTTTAAACACACAATTATTATTGCCTATAATCACCATATTGTGCTATCAAATAGTAGGCCTTATTCATTCTTTTTAATTTTTCTTGGTACCCATTAACCATCCCTACCTTCCCCGAACCCCCTACTACACTTCCCAGCCTCTGGTAACCATCCTTCTACTCTCTATGTCCATGAGTTCAATTGATTTGATTTTTAGAACTTACAAATAAGTGAAAACATGCAACGTTTGTTTTTCTGTGCCTGACTTATTTCATTAACAAAATAATCTCCAGTTCTATCCATCTTGTTGCAAATAATAGGATCTCATTCTTTTTATGACTGAGTAGTACTCCATTGTGTATATGTACCACATTTTCTTTATCCAGTCATCTGTTGATAGACACTTAGGTTGCTTCCAAATCTTAGCTATTGTAAACAGTGCTGAAACAAACATGGGAGTGCAGATATCTCTTCAATATACTCATTTCCTTTCTTTAGGGTACATACCCAACAATGGGATTGCTGGATCGTATGGTAGCTCAATTTTTAGTTTTTTGAGGAACCTGTTCTTTATGGTGATTGTACTAATTTACCTTCTCAACAACGTTGTACAAGGGTTCCCTTTTCTCTACATCCTCACCAGCATTTGTTATTTCCTGTCTTCTGGGTATAAGCCACTTTAACTGGGTGAGATGATATCTCATTGTAGTTTTGATTTGCATTTCTCTGATGATCAATGATGTTGAGTACTTTTTCATATGCCTGTTTGCCATTTGTATGTCTTCTTTTGAGAAATGTCTATTCAAATCTTTTGCCTATTTTTCATCAGATTATTAGATTTTTTTCCTATAGAGTTGTTTGAGTTCCTTTTATAATCTGGTTATTAATTCCTTGTCATAGGAATAGTTTGCAAATATTTTCTCCCATTCTGTGGGTTGTCTCTTCACTTTCTTGACTGTATCCTTTTCCGTGCAGAAGCTTTTTAACTTGATGTAATCCTGCATGTCCATGTTTGCTTTGGTTACCTGTGCTTGTGGGGTATTGTTCAAAAAGTCTTTGCCCAGACCAATATCCTGGAGATTTTCCCCATGTTTTCTTGTAGTAGTTTCATAGTTTGAGGTTGTAGGTTTAAGTCTTTAATCCTTTTTGATTTAATTTTTGTATACAGCAAGACATAGGGGTCTAGTTTCATTCTTTTGCATATGGATATCCAGTTTTCCCAGAACAATTTATTGAAGAGACTGTCTTTTTCCCAGTGTATGTTCTTGGCACCTTTGTCAGAGATGAGTTCACTGTAGGTGTATAGATTTGTTTCTGGGTTCTCTGCTCTGTTCCACCTGTCTATGTGTCTGTTTTGGTCACTATAGCTCTGTAGTATAATTTGGTTTGGTCACTATAGCTGGTTTGGTCATTATAGCTCTGTAGTATAATTTGAAGTCAGGTAATGTGATTCCTCCAGGTGGTTTTTTTGTTTTTTGTTTTTGTTTGTTTGCTTGCTTGCTTAGAATAGTGCTTTGGCCATTCTAGGTCTTTTGTGGTTCCATATAAAATTTAGGAGTGTTTTTTTCTATTTTTGTACAGAATGTCATTTGTATTTTGATAGTGATTGCACTGAATCTGTAGATTGCCTTGGGTAGTAAGGGCATTTTAATAATACCGATTCTTCGAACCCATGAACTTGAAATACTTTTCCATTTCTTGGTGTCTTCTTCAATTTCCTTCATCAGTATTTTATGGTTGTAATTATAGAGATCTTTCACTTCCTTGGGTAAGTTTCCAGCTATGTCATTTTATTTGTGGCTATTTTAGGTGGGATTACTTTTTAAATTTCTTTTTCACATTGTTCACTGTTGGCATATAGAAATGCTACTGATTTTTGTATGTTGATTTTGTATCCTGTGACTTTACCAAATCTGTTTATCAGTTCGAATGGTTTTCTTGTGGAGTCTTAAGGTTTTCTCCAAATATAAGATCATATAATCAGCAAACAAGGGTAATTTAACTTGCACACTGGATACGCTTTATATCTTTCTCTTGTCTCATTGCTTTAGCTAGGGCTGCCAGTACTATGTTAAATAACAGTGGTGACAGCGGGCATCCTTGTTGAGTTACAGATCTTAGAGAAAAGGCTGTCAGTTTTTCCCCACTCAGTATAATACTAGCTGTGGGTCAGTCATATATGGTTATGTTGAGGTATGTTCCTTCTATATCCAGTGTTTTTGAGGTATTTTATCATGAAAGGAGGTTGAATTTTATCAAATGCCTTTTCAGCATCAATTGAAATGATCACATGGTTTTTTTCCCTCATTCTGTTGATATGACATGTCACATTGATTGATTTGCATATGTTGAACCATCCTTGTATCCCAGGGATAAATTCCAGTTGGTCATGATGGATTACCTTCCTAATGTATTGTTGAAATTGGCTTGCTAATATTTTGTTGAAGATTTTTGCATCAATGTTCATCACAGATACTGGCCTGTAGTTTTCTTTTTTGATATATCATTGTCTGGTTTTGGTATCAGGGAAATAATGGCCTCATAGAATGAGTTTGGAGGTATTCCCTCCTCTTCTATTTTTTTTTTTTTTTTGGAATAGTTTGAGAAGGATTGATATTAATTCTTTAAATGTTTGGTAGAAATTGGCAGTGAAGCCATTAGGTCCTGGGCTTTTCTTTACTAGGAGGTTTTTTATTACGGCTTTTTTTTTTTTTTTTTTTTTTTTTTTTTTTGAGATGAGGTCTCACTCTGTCACCCAGCCTGGAGTGCAGTGCAGTGGTGTGATCTAGACTCAATGAATCAGCCTCCTGGTTTCAAGCAATCCTCCCACCTCAGCCTCCTGAGTAGCTGGGACTATAAGTGCACACCACCATGCCTGGCTGATTTTTTTTGTATTTTTGGTAGAGATCGGGTTTCGCCATGTTGCCCATGCTGATCTGGAACTCCTAAACTCAAGCAAACAAATAGAGAGCACCTGGGCCTCTCAAAGTACTGGGATTACAAGTGTGAGCCACTCCACCTGGCCATGGCTTCGATTTCATTACTTTTTATTGGTCTGTTCAGGTTTTAGATTTCTTTCTGATTCAATCTTGGTAGGTTGCATGTATCTAGGAACTTGTCCATTTCTTCTAGATTCCAATTTATTGGCATGTAGTTGCTCGCAGTAGCACTAATTACCTTTGAATTTCTGTAGTATTAGCTGTAATGAATCCTTTTACACCTCTGATTTTATTTATTTGGATCTTCTCTCTTTTTTTCTTAGTCTGGCAAAAGATTTGTTAATTCTGTTTATTTTTTCAAAGAAACAAACGTTTTGTTTCACTGATCTTTTGCACTTTTTTTTCACTTTAATTTCATTTGTTTCTGCTCTGATATTTATTACTTTTCTTCTACTAAGTTTAGGTTTGGTTTGCTCTTGCTTTTCTAATTCTTTAAGGTGCACTGTCAAATTGTTTATATGAAGTTATTCCTCTTTTCTGATGTAGGTACATATAGCTATAAACTTCCCTCTGAATACTGTTTTGCTGTATCGCATAGGTTTTGATATGTCATGTTTCCATTATCATTTGTTTCAAGATATTTCTTGACCTTTCGGAGTTTGAATATTAAATACCTTGAAGTAGTCTTCAAGAAGTTACATCTTCTTGGTATTCTATAACCTCCTTGTACTTGGATATTGATATCTTTCTCTAGGTTTGGGAAGTTCTCTGTTATTAAACTTTCTACCCATATCTCTTTCTCTACCTTCTCTTTAGATTTGCTCTTTTAAGACTATTTTCTAGATCCCATAGGTGTGCTTCACTGTTTTTTATTCTTTTGTCTTCTCTGTGTATTTTCAATCAGCCTGTCTTCAAGCTCACTAATTCTTTCTTCTGATTGATTCATTCTGCTATTAAAGGATTCTGATGCATTCTTCAACATGCCAATTGCATTTTTCTGCTCCAGAATTTCTGCCTGATTCTAATTATTTCAATTTCTTTGTTAAATTTATCTGATAGAATTCTGACTTCCTTCTCTGTGTTATCTTGAATTTCTTTAAGTTTCCTCAACACATCTATTTTGAATTCTCTGTCTGAAAGGTTACATATCTCTGTTTCTCCAGGATTGGTCCCTGGTGCCTTATTTAGTTCATTTGGTAAGATCATGTTTTCCTGGAGAGTGCTGATGCTAGCAGATGTTTTTTGGTATCTGGGCATTGAAGGATTGGGTATTTATTGTAGTTGTCACCGTGTGGACTTATTTGTAGCTGTTCTTCTTGAGGAATCTTTTCAGATATTTGAAAGGACGTGGTGTAGTGATCTAAGCTGTATCTACTTCAGGGGGCACCCCAAGCCCAGTAACACTGTGGTTTTTGCAGACTTGTAGAGGTACCTCCTTGATGGTCTTGGACAAAATACGGGAGAATTCTCTGGATTACCAGGCAGAGACTCTTGTTCCCTTCCCTTACTTTCTCCTAAACAGAGTCTCCGTTTGTTCTGAGCCACCTACATCTGGGGATGGAGTGACACAAGCACCCCTGTGGCCACCACTGGTATGACTGTGCTGGGCCAGACTTGAAGCCAGCACAGCGCTGGGTCTTGCCCAAACCCTGCTATAACTACACTCTGGCTACCGCCTACATTCACTCAAGGCCCTGGGGCTCTACAATCAGCATGTGGCAAAGCCATCCAGGCTTGTAACCTTCCCTTCAGGGCAGTGAGGTCCCCAGGCCCCCGCTGGGTCCAGAAGTGCTGTCCAGGAGTCAGGAACTACAGTCAAAAACCTTAGAAGTCTACCTGGTATTCTGTTGTATTGCAGCTGAGCTGGCACTCAAACCACAAGACACAGTCCTTCCCACTCTTTCCATCCCTTTTGAAAAGCAGAGCAGCCCATAGCCACTACCACCTCAGGCCACGAGGAATGCCAAACTACTGCCAATGTTCCCTTAAGGCCCAACTTATGTCAGCTTGTCGTGAATGTTACCTGTCCTGGTGCTCACCCTTCATGGCAGTGGGCTCCCCTCTGGGGTAGGGCGGGTCCAAAATTGCCACCCAAGATTCAAGTTCTGGAATCAGAGCTGCCAAGAACCCACTTGGTGTTCTACCCCCGCTGAGGTGGTGGTGGTATCTGAAGCCAGAAACTTTCACAGGCTAAGGTCCTTGACGTAGTACCCATGTATTGCTGGTGGCTTTTCGGGGATCAAGGGCCCTTCCCTTCCGTTAGCAGGTGATGAATACTGCCAGGACTGGGTCCTTTCTTTCAAAGTATCAGGTTCCCTTCTGGCCCAGAGTGTGTTTAGAAATGTTGTCTGGGAGCTAGGGCCTGGAATGGGGACCTCACAACTCTGACTGTTGCCCTATCCTGCTGTGGCTGAGCTGGTATCCTAGATGCAAGATAAAGTCCTTCCAACTCTTTCCTCTCCTCTCCTTAAGCAAAAGGAAGGGGTGTCTTTTGGAGTTGTAAGCCTGGGGTTAGAGGAGGGGTGATGCCAGCACTCCTTTGGCTGCCTCAGCTGGTCTCTCAATATGTCACCTGCCCTCCCCAGTCCACTGTCTCTGGGCCTAATTCAGCACTGGGACTCTTGTAAGAGTTGCAGTCCTTGTGGCCTAGACTGCCTTGCAAGTTTACCTGGAGGCTCAGAGTGCTGTAGCCCAGGGTGATGAGGTTTGTGGAAACTCAAGTTCAGACCACTGGGATCCACAATTTCCCTCTGACTAGGACTGGTTTAAGTGTCCCCTCTGTGGGCAGGCATCAGCTGAATTTGGTTGGGGTTTCCTTTCTGCTCTAACAGGACAGCACTGAGTTCAGTGCCTCACAATTGCTGTGTTCTCCCTCCCCCAGCACCCAGAGATGCTCTCCTTACCATGCTGGTACCATTGGGGGTGGGGGAGGGGTGGCGTTAGTGATTCAGGACTGATTTTTAATCTCTTCAGTGCCTCTTTCAGCGATATGGAGTTAAAACCAGGTACCATGAGAGCTCACCTGATTTGGGGTTCTTATGAAGGTGCTTTTTTCTGTGTAGATAGCTGTTGACTTGGCGTCTTTGCAAAAGAGGAGATGATCGGTGCACCATCTTTCTCTGCCCCAAATCTTATATTCTTTACTAAGTAATTTAAAATTATGTTCACAGTGTAATTTTTGGATAATGCAATGCATATATGAAGAATAACTGTATTGTTATCACCCATCTGTGAAGTCTACTTTCTCTAGTTGAGGTATATAAAAATTCACTTTAACATAACATCTCTTGCCTTATGAATATTTACACAATAAAATTTTAATTTTTCATTTGCCCACAAACATGTTGCAGAATTGTTTGTTATTAACATTGCTTATGTGAGATCTCAAAGTCAGTCCTTTCCAATACTGCATCATTTGATATGATCAATGAAATACAAAACCAGAGAAAATAACCTACTTAGATTTTTTTTTAATTTGGAATACTTAAAAAAATTGTTATGGCTTTTCAGGTACTTTACACATGAATATAAGATATATTAATGATTTCAAGGATTCAAGGATTAAAAATACAAAAATGTTCTGTCATGAACTTGAACTCCATACAGTATCACACTATTCTTTAAATTGTCTGATATTGCCAATTCAGGTTAAATGACATAGTTTAAAAAAAGTATCTATTCCTTTAGAACTCGTGATACATTTCAAAGCTATTAATAAAATTCCTGAGGTGATATGGTATTAAGGTAGAAATGTAATATTAAAACCAAATTAAATGCATCTTAATACATTGTTCATCACATGAAAATTTCATGTGAATATACATGTGTTTTCTGGTGTTTATGGGGAATAAGATTTTGCAAAGCTAATAAGTTAATAAATTCTTCAATGCCAAAATGATTATTTTAATACAATATTGGTTATACTTGTCATAACAAACCATGCTAATTCCTTTTAGCTTTTCTTTCTCATCATTCCTGGTACTTAAAAAAGTTGGGCAAATGAATGAAGAAAGTTATGAATCCTGCCAAACTATGTGCTCTTAGTCTTTCTATTTGTGGCTAGACTTAATTCAAAGGAAAAAGGATCTGTTCTACAAAATCTTGAAGGAGGAGGTGGCAGGTGCTTGCATTTTGAAAGCACAGGAAGCTGCTATGCCTGGAAGTCAGCCTTGTTATGCATAGGCTCTGGCACCACCTGTGCCAGGTGAGACCAATCTGATTCATCAGCCCATGGGGGCTGCACTATATTTTACGACCTCACAAAACTGGCACAAATGTGCAACTACATGTGAAGAAATATAATAATTGAATGAAAGTTGCAATTGGCTACAAAGATTTAAATATATCTTCTACCCAATCTCTACTGACTCACGTCAGGGATGTTAAACTTTTTTTTTTTTTTTTTTTTAAGACAGCGTCTTGGTCTGTCACCCAGGCTGGAGTGCAGTCGAGTGATCTCAGCTCACCGAAACCTCCACCTCCTGAATTCAAGCCATCCTCCCACCTCAGTCTCCCAAGTAGCTGGGCTACAAGTGCATGCCACCATGCCCAGCTAATTTTTGTATTTTCAGTAGAGATAGGGTTTTGCCATGTTGGCCAGGCTGGTCTTGAACTCGTGACCTCAGGTGATCTGCCCACCTCTGCCTCCCAAAGTGCTGGGATTACAGGTGTGAGCCACCACACCCAGCTGGGATGTTCAACTTTTGATTCTTTCATCATTCCAGATATTGACCAATTTACACAGCTAATCACACCTGGAAGAGTTGTGCCTGTGGAACTATTACTATTCCCACCTACTCCTGAACTAAAAAGAATAGAAGATGTGGCTGGACGCGGTGGCTCACGCCTGTAATCCCAGCACTTTGGGAGGCCAAGGCGGGCGGATCGCAAGGTCAGGAGATCGAGACCATCCTGGCTAACATGGTGAAACCCCATCTCTACTAAAAATATTTTTAAAAATTAGCCGGGCGTGGTGGTGGGCACCTGTAGTCCCAGCTATTCGCGAGGCTGAGGCAGGAGAATGGCGTGAACTCAGGAGGCGGAGCTTGCAGTGAGCCGAGATCACACCACTGCACTCCAGCCTGGGCGACAGAGCGAGACTCTGTCTCAAAAAAAAAAAAAAAAAAAAAAAAAAAAGAATAGAAGATGCATATATGCATATATTCTTAATTGGAGACATTTAATTTTACAAATTACAGCATGTAATGTGATTCTCTTTCACTAAGGCAAATAAGTAGTTTTCAAGAACTGAGTTCAAGAGTCAAAACAAGTGGAGGAAATTGTAAACAGGCACACCTGGTGCAATGCACCTGTGTCTTTTAAAGGTGTATGACTTTTTTTCCTGCTATGTGACTTTTAAAATGGATGCATCTCACTTGTCTAATTTCAGTCTTACCTCCTGAATTCCTACCATGGTTAGGTCTCTGCCTGCTCATTTGTGTCTCTAGATTTTGGCCCAATATAGTCTATAGCAGGGCATAGTAGTGGGTGACAGATGGCAAAAGGATTAAGGATATAAACTCTGGAGTCACTTATTTAGGGTTCTAATCCTGCTTCGTCCATGGACCAGCTGTGTGATCTTGGAAAAGTTACTTAACCTCTCTGAGTCTTGGTCTCCTCGTATGTAAAATGAATCTGTATAATGAGCCTGATAGCCTTATTGGTGTAAAGATTCAGTAAAATGATGTACTTAGGGCTTTTAGCTAAAGCTTGGTCCACAGTAGGTGCTTAATAAGTCATGGGAGTGTTGTCTGGGACTATTACCGAGATTGTTATTGTTAGGTCTTGAGTCACACATATTCCAAGAAGAATAGAGCAAAAGCATTTAGCCCCTTTCCTAACTGGCCCATTTTATACAAAGAACTGAAGGTATAATAAATGTTGTGAATCAGTGTGTAACAAGGCTCTCCCTCAGTGATATTCAACTTAAAATAAGATGGTATTTCTGGAAATCTGCAGGATCGAGAGCCATTAAATCTTGAGTGTGGCTAATTTTCTGCAACAGCAATTTTATAGGCAAGAGGTAGAAGGTTCTGGAATGGTTCCAACATTCAAGGGAACATTTCAAAGGATAAATTGCACAGATGGTCAGAACCTATAGCACGTTCAACATGTTATTCATAGAAATGTATGTGTTTCAATGTTAAATTGTGAGAAGTAGAAACCAAGACTGGAATGCAAAGTGTATTTGTGAAAAATTATGTTTTCAACTTAGATTTTCCCCTGTATCTATCATGTCAAGTTCTATAAAATTAGATTTCTTTTTCAAAATATAGTGGAATGTGCCATGTATCTTTATTTAGATTTTAAAAGCCATTATTTTCCATGGAAAGTGCTCTCCTGCAGAGTTAGATTGGTACTATCATTTTTGAAAATAATGTGATTTAACAGTTTCTTGAATAATTAAACATTTGGAGCCTCGTTTTCCTTTAGAAACCATGGATATAAGGCCAGTTCTAAAATATTCCCAGCACTCAAAATGCTAGGATCCTAAACAAGATTTTGTAAATAATTAGATTCAAGTCAATGAATATTTATTGTGCCTGTTCCGTGGTATGAACACAAAAGGGTATGTGGGGTGTATGGGGGTGGTGGTGGATGGTAGAGGAAAAGAATGACAGATAGAGATGAATAAATCATCATTCCTAGTCTGGAGATGACCCAACCTATCACAGGAGACAGGCCTGTGTATAATCATAATATAGCATGGTAAGTGCTACAAACTGAGCATAAAATGCCACAGGATTTCAGGAAAGTGAATTTGTTGAAATGATTAATTTCTAACTCCCAGGAAGAGAAAAAGATAAAAACAAATACAAATACATACATTCAGCTTTAGAATTTATTATAGGTGAAGGAAAGAGAGGGTAGGACCTTTGATTAAAGATAGCTGCTTTCAGACATTAAGAAATGGGCCAGGAAGCCATAGAAACAAAAATAGTCCAAATGTTCCATCTGCTTTGATTTAAACAGACAAATTAGGAAAATTATCAAAATCCCACAAGACTGCTTAAATTAGTGGACGTTTGTACAGAATGAGACTTAAAAGACTCAGAACTCCAAAGGCTAAGAAGACTTCTATAGATACCTACCTGTTGTGGTTAAGCTTAGAACAGGAGTTTTAACAGCCTGGGGTTTCACTGGTGAGCAACTATGCAAAGGCCCATCTCTGAGTTTCAGTTTGTTCATAATTGTATAAATAATGACATGGGGAAATACTATTTCTACTTTCCTCATAGGAAAAGAGCCATGAAAAACTGGCAAGCACCTGCTCGTTACTGAACTTCAAGTATAAAGAAGGCATTCTTAGACCTCTAGGTAGAAGAAAGCAGATCATCTATATGAAGGGAAGTAGCAAGTTTGTGTCATATTTCTGCAAGGCAACTTTCAGTGTTAGAAGAATATAGAGGAATGTGTATAGACTGCTAAGGTTAGAATCAAGTGTCTCACAGATATTTTAAGATGTCTGTATTAGTCCGTTCTCACACTCCTAATAAAGACATACCCAAGCATGGGTAATTTATAAGAAAAAGATGTTTAATGGACTCACAGTTCCACATGGCTGAGGAGGCCTCACAATCATGGAGGAAGGCGAAGGAAGAACAAAGGCACATCTTACATGGCAGCAGGCAAGAGAGTGTGTGCAAGCGAACCGTCCTTTATAAAACCATCAAATTTCGTGAGACTTATTCACTATCATGAGAACAGCATGGGAAAAACTTGACCCCATGATTCAGTTACCTCCAACAGGGTCCCTCCCATGACACGTGAGGATTATGAGAGCTAGAATTCAAGATGTGATTTGGGTGGAGACACAGCCAAACCACATCAATGTCTTTCAACATAATCATTAAAAATCATGAAAAAACTTGGGGAATATAATGCTGATATGTCCTTCTGGAAACAAACAAACAAACAAAAAAACAAGACAAACCTAAGCAAAACAGAAATAACTACTTGACTAAATACAGCTAACTAAGAAATGGAGAGAAAAAAGATTAAGTTAAGGGGAATTTTCCACTTGGATGCATTTAGAATTGTGTGAAGATGTTTTTCATTTTTGCAGTTAGAGTTTTTGAGCCTCCTACTGGCATTCACGGTGTTGGGGCCAGGGATGCTGAACATCTATAAAGAAATTGCCCTGCCCAAATGAAACTAGCACTCTTATTGCTCCCTTTGAAAAATTCTGCATCTTAGTCAAAGTAAAAAAACAAAACTTTTGGGGGCATCCCTTATTCAGAAGCTACATACTTGGGATGGGATTGAAGACAGTAACTAAAACCAGAAAATCAGGTTAACCTGTTTCCATGACAGGCGCAGTGTACATAGGCTATGACATAGGGTTTGTGCTGAGGAATGCAGATATTGTTGCGGGAAGTCAGGGACCCCAAATGGAGGGACTGGCTGAAGCCATGGCAGAAGAACGTGGATTGTGAAGTTTTCATGGACATTTATTAGTTCCCCAAATTAATACTTTTATAATTTCTTATGGCTGTCTTTACTGCAATCTCTAAAAGTAAATTGTAAAGATTTCATGGACACTTATCACTTCCCCAATCAATACCCTTGTGATTTCCTATGCCTGTCTTTACTTTAATCTCTTAATCCCATCGGCTGAGGAGGATGTATGTTGCCTCAGGACCCTGTAATAATTGCATTAACTGCACAAACTGTACAGCATGTGTGTTTGAGCAATATGAAATCTGGGCACCTTGAAAAAAGAACAGGATAACAGCAATTGTTCAGGGAATAAGAGAGATAACCTTAAACTCTGACCGCCGGTGAGCTGGGCGGAACAGAGCCATATTTCTCTTCTTTCAAAAGCAAATGGGAGAAATATCGCTGAATTCTTTTTCTCAGCAAGGAACATCCCTGGGAAAGAGAATACACGCCTAGAGGTATAGGCCTATAAACGGCCCCCTCAGGTGTGCCTGTCTTTTATGGTCGAGACTGCAGGGGTGAAATAGACCCCAGTCTCCCATAGCGCTCCCAGGCTTATTAGGAAGAGGAAATTCCCACCTAATAATTTTGGTCAGACCAGTTGCTCTCAAAACCCTGTCTCCCAGGGATGCCCTCTCTCACCACTCCTATTCAATATAGTGTTGGAAGTTCTGACCAGGGCAATTAGGCAGGAGAAGTAAATAAAGGGTATTCAATTAGGAAAAGAGGAAGTCAAATTGTCCCTGTTTGCAGATGACATGATTGTATATCTAGAAAACCCCATTGTCTCACCCCAAAATCTCCTTAAGCTGATAAGCAACTTCAGCAAAGTCTCAGGATACAAAATCAATGTACAAAAATCACCAGCATTCTTATACACCAATAACAGACAGAGAGCCAAATTATGAGTGAACTCCCATTCACAATTGCTTCAAAGAGAATAAAATACCTAGGAATCCAACTTACAAGGGATGTGAAGGACCTCTTCAAGGAGAACTACAAACCACTGATCAATGAAATAAAAGAGGATACAAACAAATGGAAGAACATTCCATGCTCATGGGTAGGAAGAATCAATATCGTGAAAATGGCCATACTGCCCAAGGTAATTTATAGATTCAATGCCACCCCATCAAGCTACCAATGACTTTCTTCACAGAATTGGAAAAAACTACTTTAAAGTTCATATGGAACCAAAAAAGAGCCCACATCGCCAAGTCAATCCTAAGCCAAAAGAACAAAGCCGTAGGCATCACGCTACCCGATTTCAAACTATACTACAAGGCTACAGTAACCAAAACAGCATGGTACTGGTACCAAAACAGAGATATAGATCAATGGAACAGAACAGAGCCCTCAGAAATAATGCCGCATATCTACAACCATCTGATCTTTGACAAACCTGACAAAAACAAGAAATGGGGAAAGGATTCCCTATTTAATAAATGGTGCTGGCAAAACTGGCTAGCCATATGTAGAAAGCTGAAACTGGATCCCTTCCTTACACCTTATACAAAAATTAATTCAAGATGGATAAAAGACTTACATGTTAGACCTAAAACCATAAAAACCCTAGAAGAAAACCTAGGCAATACCATTCAGGACATAGGCACGGGCAAGGACTTCATGTCTAAAACACCAAAAGCAATGGCAACAAAAGACAAAATTGACAAATGGGATCTAATTAAATTAAAGAGTTTCTGCACAGCAAAAGAAACTACCATCAGAGTGAACAGGCAACCTACGAAATGGGAGAAAATTTTCACAACCTACTCATCTGACAAAGGGCTAATATCCAGAATCTACAATGAACTCAAACAAATTTACAAGAAAAAAACAAACAACCCCATCAAAAAGTGGGCGAAGGATTTGAACAGACACTTCTCAAAAGAAGATATTTATGCAGCCAAAAGACACATGAAAAAATGCTCATCATCACTGGCCATCAGAGAAATGCAAATCAAAACCACAATGAGATACCATCTCACACCAGTTAGAATGGCGATCATTAAAAATTCAGGAAACAACAGGTGCTGGAGAGGATGTGGAGAAATAGGAACATTTTTACACTGTTGGTGGGACTGTAAACTAGTTCAACCATTGTGGAAGTCAGTGTGGCGATTCCTCAGGGATCTAGAACTAGAAATACCATTTGACCCAGCCATCCCATTACTGGGTATATACCCAAAGGCCTATAAATCATGCTGCTATAAAGACACATGCACACATATGTTTATTGCGGCACTATTCACAATAGCAAAGACTTGGAACCAACCAAAATGTCCAACAACAATAGACTGGATTAAGAAAATGTGGCCCATATACTCCATGGAATACTATGCAGCCATAAAAAATGAAGACTTCATGTCCTTTGTAGGGACATGGATGAAACTGGAAACCATCATTCTCAGTAAACTATCACAAGGACAAAAAACCAAACACCGCATGTTCTCACTCATAGGTGGGAATTGAACAATGAGAACACATGGACACAGGAAGGGGAACATCACACTCTGGGGACTGTTGTGGGGTGGGGGGAGGTGGGAGGGATAGCATTAGGTGATATACCTAACGCTAAATGACGAGTTAATGGGTTCAGCACACCAATATGGCACATGTATGCATATGTAACAAATCTGCACATTGTGCACATGTACCCTAAAACTTAAAGTATATAAAAAAAAAATCCCTGTCTCCTGATAAGAAGTTATCAATGACAATGGTGACTGAAACTTCATTAGCAATTTTAATTTCACCCCATCCTGTGGTCCTGTGATCTTGTCCTGCCTCCACTTGCCTTGTGATATTCTATTACCTTGTAAAGTACTTGATGTCTGTGACCCACACCTATTTGCACACTCCCTCCCCTTTTGAAAACCCCTAATAAGAACTTGCTGGTTTTTGCAGCTTGTGGGGCATCACGGAACCTACTGACATGTGATGTCTCCCCTGGATGCCCAGCTTTAAAATTTCTCTCTTTTGTACTCTGTCCCTTTATTTCTCAAGCTGGCCAACGCTTAAGGAAAACAGAAAAGAACCTACGTGAATATGGGGGCAGATTCCCCAACAGATATATTTTTAGGACTTTCCCAAATGAAAATCCCCAGGACTCATATTCTCCTAAAAAAAAAACCTCCAAAATATCAGTTGTAAGTATCACAAAACTGCATGGATGGAAATTAACATTTAAAAATCACAATAAAATATTACAATAGTCTCCAATGACAAAACAGGTTAAAGTGCAAATACAAAAATATATCACCAGGGTAAAAGATATCAGAAGTCAGCAAATTAAGGTAATAAATGGACGTTTTGAATTATTAGATAATACAAGGCTTAGCAAGTGTACAACCACACATGCTTTTAAAAGCATTTGTCACGGAGATCTTATTGCAAAGTCAAATATCTGGAAATTTCCTATAATCATTTTGAGTTGAACAGGCATACTAACTTGTTAATTTCAAAGTTGATAAATTGGTCAGGCATGGGGGCTGACATCTGTAATCCCAGTATTTTGGGAATCCAAGGCAGGAGGATCACTTGAGCCCAGTTTGAGATCACCCTGGGCAACAGAATGAGACCCCTTCTTTACAATTTTTTTTTTTTAATTAGCTGGGGCCAGACACAGTGACTCATGCCTGTAATCCCAGCACTTTGGGAGGCCAAGACGGGTGGATCACTTGAGGTCAGGAGTTTGAGACCAGCCTGGACAACATGGTGAAACCCCATCTCTACTAAAAATACAAAAATTAGCTGGGCGTGGTGGTGGCGCCTGTAATCCTAGCTACTTGGGAGGCTGAGGCACTAGAATCCTTTGAACCCGGGGGGCGGAGGTACTGAGATCGGGCCACTGCACTCCAGCCTGGGTGACAGACTGAGACTTTGTCTCAAAAAAAAAAAAAAATTAGCTGGGTGTGATGGCACATGCCTATAGTCTCAGCCACTCAGGAGGCAGAAGTGGGAGACTGCTTGAACACAGAAGATTGAGGCTGCAGTAAGCTCTGACTGCACCACTGCACTCCAGCCTTGGTGACAGAGTGAGACTGTGCCTCTAAAATAAACAAATACATACAAATAAAAAAATTAAGTTGATAAATTGAATCCAATATTTATTTACCAAAATAGTTCCAATTACACACTTTAAAACATCATGACTAGTCTTTTGGAAGACTGGCTGAACACCTAAGCAGTTGTCCTTACTTTTGACTATGAATGTTCATAACATATGGAAGATGTCAAAATTCTACTCTAAATTTGAATAATATTAATTTATTAACAATTTATAATACAATTATAACATTAGTATTATGGTATTAATATGTTAATAGTAGTGTCTTCCTAATTTATCAGTCCTTCAAATTATAATGAAATTTTTAGCTAAGTTTTTTGCATATAGCAGTAGTTAATGGTTTTTGAATGCCTTCTATGTGTCTCACATTATTGGAAATAGTTCACATGCAAACTCAATGACTTTCACAGCATCCTTATTATTTCTACTTTATAAATGAGAGGTCCCAAGGTTCTCGCACCTGGTGAAACAAAGGTGGAACAAAATCTTGAATCCAGGGAGTCTGATGGTATATCCAACATCTTGAGGTTCTATGTATCTTGGAATATTCCTGTAACCTTAAAGCATACAACTCTTTCTTATTCATACATTTTACTCATTTGTAATTAACATCCTTTCTCTGGATAATTTCATCTTTGTTGTTTAACAATATTTATTATTTATTAAAAGCAATATGTGTTCATTATAGAGATGTGGAAGATTCTAAAATGCAGAAAATATTAATATAATGTAATATTCCTCTGGCAAGAAATAACCACTGTTAATGGTTTTGCTTCCAGTCTTGTTTGTGTGTGTGTGTGTGTGTTTATATATGTGCATGTATATGGGAGTTTGTTCATATATATGCATAGTTTATAGTTACTTTTCTATTTAATTTTTCTGGAAATTATTTTGGTATATCATAATAAGAATTTAACGTTTATTCCAGCAAATATTTAACTAACTCCCCCAACAGCAGTTACTGGAATATCCTTTTCTCTCTATTCATGTAGATGCCTTTATGCAGTCTTCTCTCAGTATCCCTGAGGGATTGGTTCCAAGGCCCACACAGACACCAACATTCAGTGATGCTTAGGTCCCTTATATAAAATGGTGTAGTGTTTGCATACAACTACACACATCTTCTTGTATACTTTAAATCATCTGTAGATTACTTATAATAACTAGTACAATGTAAATGCTATGTAAATAGTTGTTATACTGCATTGTTTTTTATTTATTTTGTTATTCTTTATTATTTTTTTCCAAATATTTTTGAGCCAAGGTTGACTGGATCCATGGATGTGGAACCTAGAGATTTATACAGGTACAGAGGACCCACTGTATCAAATCTGTATAAAACTAGAGTTTCTTGCTCAAGTGTCTACTGTATTCCATTGATCATTCTTTGCAACATACTAGTTCCCTTTATCTGTGGGGAATACATTCTAAGACCTCCAGTAGATGCCTGAAACCATGGATAATACTGAAACCTATATATGCTATGCACGAATTTCTTTTCCCATCTATAATTTTGTGGCTAGAACATATTTTTACTGTAGACCTTAGTAACCTTAGCATATAATTTCTTTCCTTATTAAGTCAATAATGATCACCTTTTCACTTAAAGGAAGCACTTCACAGCTCTCGCTGGCATTCTGAATTGGCAATATCACTACTCTTGTACTTTGGGGACATTATTAAGTAAAATAAGGGTTCCCTGAGCAAAAGCACTGCCATACTGCCACAGTTGATCTGATAATCAAGATGGCTGCTAAGTGATGAAAGAGCATGAGGGTATACAGCATGGATATGCTGGACAGAGGGAGGAGTCACATCCTGGGTGGGGCAGAGCCAGAGGCGCAAAATTTCATTGGGCTACTCAGGTCAGGACAGATCACAACTTAAACTTATGAATCGTTTATTTCCAGAACTTTTCATTTAGTAATTTTAGTCAGCAGCTGACCACAGATAAATGAAATAGTGGAAAGTGAAACCTATGATGACAGGGGCACTGTACAACATTTTTATATCTGGCAGAGAAATGTCCTCTTCCTTATTCTTTTTTTTGTCTAAGACTATTCTTCCAGATGAATTTTACAATTACTTTATTGGATCCCAAAACAAAACCCTTGCTGAAATTCTAACAGCATTAATTTGGGAGGAAATAATATCTCTAAAATATTTGAACCTAGGGGATATGGTACATATGTCTTCTATTGTGTCTTTCTTTAAATGCTGTAATTTTATTTATACAGGTCTCATTCATTTTTGGATAATTTATTCCTAGTTATTAAATAATTTTAGTACTAATATAAACAGACTTTTTTCTATTCCATTTTCTAACTTATTTTTCCTGTTATATAGGCTAAATATTGGTTTTAAAATACTTTTTATTTGACCACAATATTTTTCACTGCTTCTACAATCCAATAGATTTTGTTTTTCCAAGAACACAATCATATATGCAAATAATTATTTCATTTTATCCTTTTCTATTTTATTCTATTTCTATGTCATGTCTTATTGCCCTGAATCAGGCTAGCAAAATTATGTTAACTAATAGTGGTAATGGAGTCATTTTTGCCGTATCTTTGATATTACTGAAGATGCTGATGTTTGGTGTTGATTTAAATCATTAACCTGGTAATGTATTGTGGATGGTGTTGTTGCTGCTGTTGCTGCTGCTGCTGCTGCTGCTGAGAGGTGGAGAAGTGGGGAAAGAAGAGGGGGATGCTGCAGTTTAGTCTAAGTGATACATTTCTAGGTTTAGATATATTTGCTTAAAGCTTTGGCAGCCAGAATCTACTGGTACAAAGAACTAAATTTTTTTCTCAGGATAGCATCAGGCAATACTCTGTGCTTTGGGAGTAACAAAGGGTTTTCAGGGGAGACAATTCTGAAGTTAGCAGCATCTCAGTCACTTAATTATCCCTGGTCCTGAATACTTAGTCCAAAGTCTGACTCACAGCAAGTGAAGGGTTGTAAAAATTGGGAGCAGTTTTTATTCAAAGTTACAAATTTGCTTCAGAAACAGAATTCTAAAAGTTTTGATATATAGTGTTCTCGCTATCATAAGTTTTAAAGATAATTTTAGTTGACCATTATAATAGTTATCTATATATATAGATTTATATTTAAATTTCTAATTTATTATCAGTTTATGACACTTTTTATACATTTATTCTTTTTCCACTTTAAAAACATTTTATGAACTTTTTGGGTTATATTTTGCCCTTGCTTTCTCTAGTGCTTTAGAAAATATATCTCTAGTTTTTAAGCGTATTGGTAGTGATTTTACAAAATATTTGAACCTATATTTTCTGTTTATCCTACATCAAGAATGAAACCAAATCTACTGACTCTTGGCTTTTATGGCTATATTTATTTTAGGCTTAAGCATTTTTTTTTACATTACATGTTTTCTATTTCAAAATTCGTTGACAACTGCATTCAGTTTTACAACAATTCATAGCTTTAGCTCCATAATAATTTTTTTTTTTTTTTGAGATGGAGTGTTGCTCTGTCACCCAGGCTGCAGTGCAGTGGCACGATCTTGGCTCACTGCAACCTCCACCTCCTGGGTTCAAGTGATTCTTCTGCCTCAGCCTCTCTAGTAGCTGGAACTGCAGGTGCACATCACCATCCCTGGCTATTTTTTGTATTTTTAGTAGAGACAGGGTTTCACCATATTGGCCAGGCTGGTCTCAAACTCCTGACCTCGAGATCTGCCTGCCTCAGCCTCCCAAAGTGCTGGGATTACAGGCGTGAGCCACTGCACCCGGGCAGCTCCATAATAATTTTAATAACTGCCTCCAAACCTTTTATATGACAATTTCCCCATTTAAAATCCTATTTTTATTTATTAGTTGGCTGAAATATATCATTAAAATATTTATTTCCCATTAGAAAATTAATGTTAGGCAGGTTTTCTGAATACTGATGATGTAGGACAGGCAAGCCCCCAAACTGAGGCTTAGCTTGGGAGGGTTCTTGGCTTTACCGAGGAAAGAATTCAAGGGCGAGCCCATGATGTTAGACAGCAACTTTTATTGAAGCAGCGGCGTACAGCAGTACAAGAATTACTGCTTCTTGAAGAGCAGAGCTACCCCATAGTCAATGTGTCCAGAGTAGCAGCTCAGAGGCAATTCTGCAGTCATACTTTTACCCACTTTTAATTACATATAAATTAAGGGTTGGATTATGTAGAAATTTCTAGGAAAAGGGTGGTAACTTCTGGGTCATGCGGTTATTATCATGGCAAGAGGTGGTAACTTCTGGGTGTAGCCATGGCAGTGATAAACTAAGATGACACACTGGTAGCTGTGTCTTATGGAAAGCAGCTTCCACCAAGTCTCTGTTCTAGCTAGTCCTCAATTTGGTCCAGTGTTCGAGCCCTGCCTCCAGAGTTGAGTCCCACCTTCTACCTTACTTATATATTACAGATGTTTCAGAATATTTGCTGCCTTTACCTATGAATGACAATTTAGTGGTTGTAGAATTCATGGATTACAATGCATTCTTCCCTGTAGACACTTGCTCTATTGTCCTCTAGTGTTAAATACTGGTTTGAGGACTGAGGCTGGTTTGATTTTGTCCTTCCAGTATATTGTTTATCTTCTTCTGGCATTCTGTTTAAAATGTTGCTATTATTTTTGAAATGTTCAAAAACAACAGGGTAAATCTGGATGTTTATCAGTTTACTCAGTTTTGACTAAAATGAGACATGGAGTCTTTTATTTTTGCATGAAAAAGTGGTTTCTTATTATATCCTTGACTACTGTCTCTGTTTTATAGAGTGCTCATCTCCTCTTTGGGAAAACTGTTTTTTTAGACTGAATGTCTGTTGCCATATCTACTATCGACTTTCTTATTAGTGGCATCTTTTCTCTTTTCTTCCTGCATTTTTGTAAATCTTATTACATTTTGCATCTGAATAAATAATTACCTACAACTTCAATTCTGCACTTTACTATTTTTAGTTCAGATTTTAATTTTTTAATTTGGTTTCTGTAACCTTTTATTATTATATTATGCTTCCTTATCATTTATGCTCCTAAGCAGAGCTTTATTTTTATTTCAAGCTGGTGATTAATAACTTCTTAAACATCAAGCTTGTTTCAATGTCAAAACACATGAATCTTTTTGAATAAACAGAGCAGATGCTTTTAAAAGATATCTTCCATACCCTTTTAATGTCTTTTTCCAAAAGTATGCTGTTACTCTATATCTTGAAGACAAATTTCTTCCTGTTTTTGTATTTTAGGATATTTTGAAAAGTTCATATTTTTTATTCCTCTTTACCAAACTTAATTAAAAAGGGATTAGTGCAAGTCTAATGTTTGCCAATAGAAAACAGAAGTGGATTCTTCTTTGTGATCATCACCATTTATCTTAATTGTAAATCATCATTTACCTTAATTGTAAATAGTGATGATCACAAAGGAGAATCCACTTGTCTTGTTTCTATGCTGAAGTTCCAGTGAAGCAGTTCTTGTCATGTTTCCAGCCTCCAGCAATTTCCTATCAGGTTGTGGTTTGGATGCACAGTGGAAGAGTCATCTGTTCCTCCACCTGACTATGCGGAATTTATTTCTGAATAATTTGGAGCAATCTGTTGCCTTCTCTTGCATAAAGCATTACATAAGAATTGACAACTCTTAGAACTAATACTTCCATAGATCCTGCTGCCTTTAGCCCAACCTACAACTGCTGTCACATTCCAGGGGCTTTTACTGACTCTTTTGCAATTATGAGACTTAAAGTCCAAGCTTTGCTATGGTGGGAAGAAAAAGGATTTGAAACAGACTTGGCTCTCAGAGAAAGCCACTCACATAAAATAAGATGCTGGATGCTAACTCTGTCTGTGTCCCATGTCTTGGTAAAGGATCTCAGTAGGTGTGAGTGAGAACACACAAGTCTCCTCCTGCTTGGTTCTTCTGTCTTGCCTTAGGATCCATCTTTACCTTTTCCAATGCTGATTCCTTTTAGAGTTTGGAAGATTGTTGACAAATACCTCTTGGTCCTAGAAGCATTAAAACTTTGAAACTTTTGTGTGTGTGTTTTCATTGAACACAACAAAAAAAATCTGAGAAAAGAAAATGAAGCACCAGGAGGTACCTTCTTTTTTAATCTGGAAATTTCAACACCACCATTTTACATGATTCTACCAACACCTAGGAAGTGTGTGGCTATTACTGTTTAATAATAATAAAATCAAAGTTCCACGGTCAAGCAGTGAAGTTAACAGAATATTATTATAGCATTGCCTTGAAGCTCTCCTTCTGACCCAGAAATAAAATATATCCTACCTGATTATCGCAGAGAACTGTTCATTTTATCAACACCCCTCCTGAATTAGCCATTACCAAATAAAAATTTATTTTTTATGGGTCAAAGACATCATAAATAGTAAATTCACATCACGCCCATATAATACAAAACAGAACTTTATTCCCTAAGGGAATACTTCAGCTTTTTGGCAAACAACTACTACCACAGAGTAAGGAAAAAAATTTTATGGTCCCAACCCATCCTCCAATAAACAATCAATGAAAGAATAACACAGACATACAGTAGTGTTATTCACTCTTTACTATCTGATATGGCTTGGCTGTGTCTCTACCCAAATCTCACCTTAAACTGTAATAATCCCCTTGTGTCAGGGGTGGGACTAGGTGGAGATAATTGAATCTTGGGGGCAGTTCCCCATACTGTTCTCGTGGTAGCGAATAAGTCTCATGAGAACTGATGGTTTTATAAATGGGAGTTCCCCTGCACAAGCCCTCTTGACTGTCGCCATGTGAGATATGTCTTGCTTCCCCTTCTGCCATGATTGTGAGGCCTCCCTAACCATGTGGAACTGTGGGTCAATTAAACCTCTTTCCTTTATAAATTACCCAGTTTCAGGTATGTCATTATCAGCAGCATGAGAACAGACTAATACAGTAAATTGGTACCAGGTAGAAGGGCACTTCTGTAAAGATACCCAAAAATGTGGAAGTGACTTTGGAACTGGGCAACAGTCAGAGGTTGAAAGAGTTTAGAGGGCTCAGAAGAAGACTGGAAAATGTGGGAAAGTTTGGAACTTCCTAGGGACTTGGAGGGCTCAGAAGAAGACAGGAAGATGTGGGAAAGTTTGGAGCTTCCTAGAAATTTGTTGAATTGCTTTGACTAAAATGTTGATAGTGATATGGACAATAAAGTCCAGGCTGAGGTGGACTCAAATGGAGATGAGGAACTTCTTGGGAACTGGAGTAAAGGTCACTCTTGTTATGCAAAGAGACTGGCAGCATTTTGCCCCTGCCCTAGAGATATGTGGAACCTTGAACTTGAGAGAGATGATTTAGGGTATCTGGCAGAAGAAATTTCTAAGCAGCAAAGTGTTCAAGAGAAAGCAGAGCATAAAATTTTGGAAAATTTGCAGCCTGCTGACATGATAGAAAAGAAAACCCCATTTTCTGGGGAGACATTCAAGCCTGCTGTAGAAATTTGCATAAGTAATGAGAAGCCAAATGTTAATCACCAAGACAATGTGGAAAATGTCTCCAAGGCAAGTCAGAGACCTTCACAGCAGCCCCTCCCATCACAGGCCTGGAGGCCTTGGAGGGAAAAATGGTTTCATAGGCCTGACCCAGGGCTCCCCTGCTGTGTGCAGTCTGGGGTATATGGTGCCTTGTGTCCCAGCTGCTTCAGCTCCAGCCATGGCTAAAATGAGGCAATGTACAACTCAGGCCATTGCTTCAGAAGGTGCAAGCCCCAAGCCTTGGTGGCTTCCACATGGTGTTGAGCCTGTGGGTGCACAGAAGTCAAGAACTGAGGTTGGGAACCTCCACCTAGATTTCAGAGGATGTATGGAAATGCCTGGATGCCCAGGCAGAAGTATGCTGCAGGGAACGTCTGCTAGGGTAGTGCAGAGGGGAAATATAGGGTTGTAGCCCCCACACAAAGTCCTCACCAGGGCACTGCCTAGTGGAGCTGTGAGCAGGGGCCACCATCCTCCAGACCCAGAATGGTAGATCCACCAACAACCTGAACTGTGCACCTGGAAAAGCCACAGACACTCAACACCAGCCCATGAAAGCAGTTGGGAGGGAAGCTGTACCCTGAAAAGCCACAGAGGCAGAGCTTCCCATGCCCATGGGAGCCCACTGCTTGCATCAGCATGATCTGGAGGTGAGACAAGGAGTCAAAGGAGATCATTTCAGAGCTTTAAGATTTTTCTGCCCCATTGGATTTCAGACTTGCATGGGGCCTGTAGCACCTATGTTTTGGCCAATTTCTCCCATTTGGAATGGCTGTATTTACCCAAGGCCTATACCCCCACTGTATCTAGGAAGTAACTAACTTGCTTTTGATTTTATAGCCTCATAGGCAGAAGGGACTTGCTTTGTCTCAGCTGAGACTTTGGACTGTGGACTTCTGAGTTAATGCTGAAATGAGTTAAGACTTTGGGAATTTTTGGGAAGGCATGATTGGTTTTGAAATGTGAGGACATGAGATTTAGGAGGGGTCAGGGGCAGAATGATATGGTTAGGCTTTGTGTCCCCACCCAAATCTCACCTTGAATTGAAACAATCCCCATGTGTCAAGGGTGGGGCCAGCTAGAGATAATTGAATTATGCAGAGGGGTTTTCCCATACTATTCTCATGGTAGTGAATAAGTCTCACAAGATCCGATGCAAAAGCCCTCTTGCCTGTCACCATGTAAGACATGCCTTTGCTTCTCCTTTGCCTTCTGCCATGATGGTGAGGCCTCCCCAGCCATGTGGAACTGTGAATCCATTAAACCTCTTTTCTTTATAAATTACTCACTCTGGGCTATATCTTTATTAGCAGCATGAGAACAGACTAATACACCATCCTTAGAGGGAAACACTTATAAAAAGAAAGGATCACTGTTCACCTTTAAGTCATGAGACATTGATATTTCCCACAGAGTCTTTCTCTCTCTCTCTCTCTCTCTCTTTCTTTCTTTGATGGAGTCTCACTTTGTTGCCAAGGCTGGAGTGCAGTGGCGTGATCTTGGCTCACTACAACCTCTGGCTCCCAGGTTCAAGCGATTCTCCTGCCTCAGCCTCCTGAGTAGCTGGGACCATGCCCGGCTAATTTTGTATTTTTAGCAGAGATGAGGGTTCACCATGTTGGCCAGGCTGGTTTCAAACTCCTGACCTCAAGTGATCTGCCCACCTCAGCCTCCCAAGGTGCTGAGATTACAGGCATAAACCACCATGCCCAGCCTAGTCATTCTTTCTTAAGCCCTTCTCTTGTGGCCTGCAGTAGGTAGAGGCTATTGCACATAAACTATATCTATATATCTAAAGAAAACACTGTCCTCTGAGGGAGGCCATTGTGGGTGGCAGAATTCCTTGTTCATGATTTCAGCTTTTCAGAGCATTGAATATCATAAGAACAGAATACATACAGGCCAAATTGTCAATTAGGGTAAAGTGTTGTTTTTGTTGTTGTTGTTTGTTTAAGATATTGTGATAATATCCTTCCTGTCATGGTCTACATATACTTGTTTGGAATGAGCATTTTTTAATGTAATTAAAATGTGTAATCTTAAAAGCTTATTTCCTTACAGCTTGATTCCTCACTTTTTTCCTTCTCTTTATTCATGATAATCAGAAACAGTGCATGCCTTTCTGGACCTCAAAAGGACACTGTGAGTACTTCTCTATTAGTATACTTTGGGGTGTTGTTTTTGTGTTTTTCTTTTCTTTTTTTTTTTTTTAAGGAGTCTCTCTCTGTCACCCAGGCTAGAGTGCAGTGGCGCGATCTCAGCTTACTGCAACCTCCGCCTCCCAGGTTCAAGCGATTCTCTTGCCTCAGCCTCTCGAGTAGGTGGGATTAGAGGTGGCTGCCGTCATGCCCAGCTAATTTTGTATTTTTAGTAGATAATGGGTTTCACCATCTTGGCCAGGCTGGTTTCGAACTCCTGACCTCGTGATCCACCTGCTTTGACCTCCCAAAGTGCTGGGATTACAGGCATGAGCCATCGCACCCGGCCTTGTGTTTTTCTTTCATGCTGCCACTATTAACTAGACATATTTCTCATCCTGATTTGAGGCTGTCTAATTCTCCTACTTAAAAGCCTATGATTCTGAGAATTAAATCAACTGAAACCTAACAGAATAGCTGCTGAATTAACTTCTAAAGATCATAATCCAAGGATATCAAAGAAGAGGCAGGTCATATCTATTAAATAACCTCATATTCATGGCACTTTAATTGAGTTTTTGCAAAAGTGAAGACACTCATCTTAATCCTGAGGCATTTCCTTGAGGTATTCTCTTCCAAGGAAGATAAATAAGTTAGATGTTGCTTTATTATCCTCTTTTCTTAATCACCTTTCAGAAAGAGACTGTGTCTTGCGTTTACTTTCAGTAGCTCTCCTCGGGACCTAGAATTCATGTTGTGTGCAAAGTGAGCCCAGAGTCATCTGGTCTAGAAGCTTTAGTGGGTCTTTAAAAAGTTTGTTATTTTTATTGTTCTTTAATTAATCATTAGTTCTCAAATAAAGCAAAGGAAAAAGAAGAGCGTAAAAAGAAAAAAATTGGCCAGGTACGGAGGCTCACACCTGTAATCCCAGCACTTTGGGAGGCCGAGGCAGGTGGATCATCAGAGGTCAAGAGTTCAAGACCAGCCTGGCCAACATGGTGAAACCTCGTCTCTACAAAAAATACAAAAATTAGCCAGGCATGGTGGCGGGCACCTGTAGTCCCAGCTACTCAGGAGGCTGAGGCAGGAGAATTGCTTGAACCCAGGGAGGCGGAAGTTGCAGTGAGCCAAAATATCACACCACTGCACTCCAGCCTGGGTGACAAGAGCAAGACTCTGTCTAAAAAACCAAAAACGAGAGAGAGAGAGAGAGAGAGAGAGAGAGAAAATAAATTAGGAGAAGGAAACAGGAGTGGAAGAGAAAGAGGTAATCAGAGGAACTACTAGACCAGATAGAAGAGAATGAGATAAAACCTTATAAAGGAAGTAGGAAGAGAAGTGACAAAAAAAAAAGAATGTAATGCTAAGTGTTAATAAAGGTGAGAAAGTTTGATGAAAAGTTCTCATTGATCCTCTAAGTCCTGCTATCTGCAGTTTCCTACTTTAAATTATTTTTCATTATACCCAACTCTTCATATATGTAACACTCATAGATCTTGACAGTAAAGATCTAAGGGAAATTTTGAGCTTAGTTGGTTAGCAAATTTCATTCACATACTCAAAAACTATTCTTTTTGAGGGGAAGGTCGTGCTTTTCATTTCTTGACCGGCCATTTTTAATATCCTCTCCACTGCTTTCGGACTTCATGCTGCCATCAGGGTGATGGTCTTATAGCAAAAGTCCCTCAGGACCTCTTCATCTGCAGAATCATGTGAACCATTTTAGTAAGTCACCTGAGCCCCTCCAGGCCAGTCTCCCTGTCTTTTTAAGCCTTGGTTCTCACAATATGTACCTTACTTTCAAGAAATAACTAAAGACCAGAGTTTGTGCCTTTGTACCTTTATTATGTTCCCTAAAAAGGGAAAAAAGGAGTATTATGGAAATTCCTTTTCTTTCATATTGGCTGTTAATTAAACAATAAACTTCGTCTTTTTTTTTGTTTTGTTTTGTTTTGAGACGCAGTCTTGCTCTGTTGCCATACTGGAGTGCGGTGGTGCAATCTCAGCTCACTGCAACCTCTGCCTACCGGGTTCAAATGATTCTCCTGCCTCAGCCTCCTGAGTAGCTGGGACTATAGGCGCACACCACCATGCCCAGCTAATTTTTGTATTTTTAGTAGAGATGGGGTTTCACCACGTTGGCCAGGATGGTCTCAATTTCTTGACCTTGTGATCCGCCCGCCTTGGCCTCCCAAAGTGCTGGGATTACAGGCGTGAGCCACCACACCCAGCCAAATTTTCTTTTAAACTCCAATTCAGATACAACTTTCTCTGGCAAGATATTTTCTGACTCAGTTTCTCTCTAGATACATCAAATAGCGTATTCCCTCTCTGATGACTTTGAATCACTAAGTGCACTTTTACCATCTTGTAGCCATGTGTTTATGTGTCTATCCACCCAGTTTATTGGTGAATTTCTTGACCTCTGTATCTCAAAGTCTAGAACAAAGTCTAGAATAAACTAGGGAATCAGTAATTGTTGAATTGAATTGTTGATCTTATCCAACATTAACAAAACCCCCAAACAACAAAAGTCATCTAGACTATAATCATCAAAATAATATTTTATATATGGTGTAAGCTAAGAATAACATAGTAAGTCCCCAACCAACTAAACGAACCTCCTTTTGGCCAAGGAGACCCCAGAAAAACCTTAACAATGGAGTTCTTGGTTATGATGGGACGGGAGGTCAAACATGACTCATTATACTTCCTCCCTTTTGCAGTTTAGACACAACAACTGACCAGCATTCGTGTTAAAATAGAGATCTTAAGACTGACAAAAACAGACTCTTTGTGGCAATGAAATACCAACTTATAAACAGGACCTAAGGCCATGACAGACAAGAGTTAAGTCATGTATCCCCACACTTAAATAATGAACTATGTTCTATCTGCCACAAGGTTTTTCTTTTTCTCTAGCAGCTAAACAAGCATTGACCTTGAGATAAGCAATGTTCAAACAACTGCAGCTCCCCTAGGCACTGATTAACTGACCCTCAGCCCCTGTTTCACCAGCTATAATTACAAGAGACTGATTTCAGTAACTTTCTCCAGATAAGAACTGACCATGGACTGGTTCTAGACAGTTTACAGAGGCTGCACACTTGAGTGTCCTTGTGTCCCAAGTGCCTATTGGCATTTAGGGCCCAATTATAATACATTTAGTTGTTAAGTCTCCATCCCAAAGTGAACATGGGTCACATGTAACATGCATGTTTGTTCAATATGCATATGTTAAGACTGTCTTCATCAATATTCATAACTCCTACTGTACCATGTTAAATATGTATGCTTAGCCAACCCATTCAACATAAAATTCCTACCCCGACCCCTCCTCCTTCAAAATGCCTGCTAATAGGCTCTGCTGCAGGCTGCACTGGCTGCACTTCCCAACCTTTCAAAGGGTCACCTTACAGCCTGTAACCTTTTATAAGAAATAGAGGCTCCTTTCCAAATTTATAGATTGAGTGATTTTTAAGTTAACGAAGACGATCAGAAAATTCCTAGACACATGCTCCAGAATCTATTGTGGCTCACTTGAGAATCAAAAGAGGGAAGTCCATGTAGGCAGAATTCGGTAAAATTTTGATATCATTATCATTAGTGATAATGGTGTGCAGAAACATTTAATGAGAAGGAAATCCCCTCCCTTGCCCAGGAATTGTTTTTAGATCCTCTGTGTCCCAATATTGCACTGTAATTTCAGAATGTTGATTATTATTCTGTTCCAAAATTTCTGATAAAATGTCTATGCTCTGATTGGGCCCCTAGTCTACTTTATTCTATGTCTATAAATCAAAATATTATAACATTAAGAGAACAGCTTGTTATTTCTTCTCTGGGAACTGTGATCTCTCAATTCTTAATATGAATTAAACCACTTTTACTTTTTACAGGTAAAATTATCATTTTAGTGCTTCAACTCTTAAAACTTTGTATTAATTAAAATCTATCCTCCAAAGATCAGTGCTCAAACCTGAGCAGCAAGAAACAAAAGTCTCCAGAGAAAGAAATGAAAATACCATAGGAACTGATAGGTTTCAAACAAACAACAAAAAAACTTGCATTTTCTGTTTTAACCTTTCATTACGTACTTGAACTCTCTGAACCTATTAATTGACAAGAAGTGGATTCAAGCAGGAATGACATTCATAGAAACAAAAAACAAGTGTCAAAAGCAATTTTATTTTCAAAACCCTTAAACTTCATTGTCCCTTCAAATCATACTTAATCCTGATTTAGCAATATGTGGGTGTATGTTTGATATTCAGTGAAAATCAGTTTTTAGAAATTTGTGGGACCAGAATCTTTTTATTTAGAAGTATGCTCTTTCTGTTATGTTTAAATGGATGGAAAATTATACAGCTTGCTCTGACCACAGAAAAGTTGTTAGCATATACTCAAAAAGTTTATTGAAAAAACGGTTCAGTATCTTATTGCTTCAAGTAACAGGGCATATAATTTAAAACCGAAACATTGAGAAACTGTATTTATCCTCCCTGAGATATCAAGAAGTTGGAGAATTCCAATGGTGTCATCTTTCTTCCCTGCCTTCCTCAGGATGACTTATGTTTCTCTTCATAATTACAAGATAGCAAAAGCGGTTCCCAGCATCATATGCAGACCCAACCAGGCCAGTGAAAAGGAGAAATGGCTTTTCTTCCCTTGAGTCTCCTTTACTAAGGGAAAATTTTTCCCAAAACTCATGAGCAAACTGTCCCAAGGAACTCACTGGGCACAGTCAGGTAATATGACCTTGCCCTAGCTGCAAGGGAGGCTAGGAGGATAAGTTCTGGTACTTTCCATCTTCCTACAAGGGAGATCGGCTTTCTGCCAATGAGGAATAAGAGGTCAAAGTGGAAGATTGTTTTAATGTGTCAGATAATGTAAGGTTGAATAATATAATGCCTGTTAAATGGATAAACATCATTAAGCATAACACTCAGTACTAAATACAGACAGTAATTTATTTTTGTGTTACTTCTCTTATTTCGATTTCACTGAACTCTAGAACCATTTCATGCACTTTAGTAGACTATGAACATTTTGGAAGACTCTGAATAAAAGCAGAAACTGATAATTTATTTTTGTTTTTGAATAACATCCTGTACAATTTATTAAGCTATTGTCTCCAAACCTAAAACCCATTCTTCCACTTTATGATGCTGAGATTGAAATTTCAAGCCACATTTTTCCTTCTCCAGTTGGCTCTCCATTTGGATCTGCCACGAGAGGGCATGAGGGAGAGAGAGTGGCAGGCTAGAAGAGAAAGAAGGGATTGCTCCTTCCTGTTTGCTTTCTGACTCTGATTTTCTGCTTGTTATTCCTATGTCTCTCTGGAAGCACTCTTTCATCCTGCAGTGGCAGGTCGTTCCAGGAACAACAGTTGAATCCAGTTTGCAGCTTTTGCAACTCAAACAGAAACAGTCTCAGTGCCTCTTATCAGCAACACCAGCACTGGCTGGCTGGAGCATCATCCTCAGAGACCTGAGGTCCAGCTTCATGGGAAATTCCTCTGAGGTCCGAGCCACCTACACCAGCCAAACAGGGAGCCCTCTTCACAAGTCCATAGAGAACCTCCTTCAATCCTCTATGTTTTAATAATTTTAACCTCTTCATTTTGTTCCCCCAGTCCTAGGGGTAGCTGTTTCCTGAAGTTATCACACGTCCTCCACACACAATAACTTAGCTTAGTGTTCCTCTTTTGCCTTTTCCGTTTTTGAGTATCTAGTCACCAATTCATTATCAATTGATTTCCTATGTAAAAAGCTAAATCTGTTTCTGTTTTAGAGAGTGAGTTACAGGTTAATTTTTTTAATCAAAAGGAGCTTTTGCAATTTCATCTTTTCTTGCCTCTCTATAATAATGTCCATTTTCTATTTTTTTTGATGCTCAGATACCATATTGACTTTTAAAGGGTTAGATTCTTCTGGTTGTAACTCTTCACCACCATCATCACAGTCTTTAACACAAACCTAACCAAAAAGCTATGTTATACAACAGCAAATAGATTTAATAGTTACTCACCCATTTCCTTGTAGTTCCTGAAGAAATGCAGTACTGACAGCCTGGCCTACATAGTGAAATCCTGTCTCTACTAAAAATACAAAAATTAGCCAGGCATGGTGTCGCATGCCTGTAATCCCGGCTACTTGGGAGGCTGAGGCAGGAGAACTGCTTGAACCCAGGAGGCAGAGCTTGCAGTGGGCCAAGATCACACCACTGCACTCCAGCCTGGGCGACAGAGCGAGACTCTGTCTCAAAAAAAGGAAGAGAAGAGAAGAGAGAAGAGCAGAGCAGTACTATGTTCGATATGTACAAATTTCTCTAGGCTCCAAAGTCACACTTTGAAATTAAGACATACAAAAGAGAACTGTAGCTAGAAAAAGGGAAGAAAGGCTGTATCAGTGGGGGATAATGTAGGGGATGATGATGTTTTGGAAACAGAGAAACACTCAGCTGTCAGTGGTGACAAAGAAAGAACTGAAGGTGGTGGCAGCAGAATTAAGTATCAGAGGAGAGGGAATATTCCCTAATTATCCCTACAAGTCCATGGAAAAGGGGTTTGGTATTGTGCTACTACAGGATGACCCTTCCAGAATGTCCAGACTGACCTAGACCATTTAACTTTGGACCACTGGAATTCATTTCAAGAAGAGAGAATACTCAAGAGGACTTAAGGGTCTGCTCTCGAGGACTGACTGAATGAATTCAAATCCAAAGAGGGAAACATCTTTCAAACACACTTTAAAAGCTTTCACAAAAGCTATTTAAAGCCAGAAAAGCAGAAGGAGCAAGGTTAAAGTCAGAGAAATACTGTAAAATATGTGGGGCAAGAATTAGCATGGAATGGGGAGGGAGGGAGGGATTGCAAGATATGTTACGTAAGGAGTATAATTATACTTTCATTATATTTCCCAAGAACTTTTCAATCTTTAAGTTTTCTGCTTCTATGCTTTCAACAACCAGCCTAGATATAAGTTATCTAGAGGAAATGTGAGATGTACCACTGATTACTCTGAGTTCCCACCTGTCCCAATTTTTATAGCTATGTATAGCTGTGTAATTGACAATAAACTATTTCATAAATGCCAGCCATTTCTGGCAAGTTTTAAATTGCTTTGCTTTCTACCTGTGGAATTCTTAGGGAAATTAATTTTTTTTCTTTAAGTTAACCCTTAATTGCAATAATCAGAGAAAATCTGATTTTTATAAAGCTTCTTTTAAGGAACATTTGATTTGAATGTGTTAGCTCCTAAACTGGAACTTAGTGACAAAAAAAAACAAACCCTCAACAATTTCTTTTTAAATGTAGGATTAGCTATACGTTAATTAATTTATCTTTGCAGACTTGAGTCAGAGTTCTAGGAACTCTTATCCTTCTGTGTTATGTGGGGCACCCCTATCTGGAACATCCCTTCTTGGACTCTTTTATTTCTTAACTGGTATAACTCCAACAGGTGGAAAATTCTGATGCTGAGAACATCCATTTTTCACCAATTGAATAAGAGAGTTTCCCAGTCAGCTACATGAGGTATTACTATATTGAGGCATACCCACTGTAATAAGCCTCCTAAAGAATCAAGAGCTGATCTGAACGGACAGAGGTAAAGAAAGAACATACCGAGGAAGGTGAGTTTTGAATGACAGGAAAGAATGAAACAGTAGTAAGGAAATAAAAAGAATCTCATTCACAAAAGTAAGTTATAAAGCTTTGTCTCCTATGAAATTAGTAGAAAAATAACAGTAAAGATGTTTAGTACATGGCTCGTTATCCAGAAAGAAAAAATACAGAATGATGGCTCTTTCTTCATGTTTTCATCAATTTCCATTTACTTATTCAGTAAGTGTTTATTGAGCTCCTACTTTGTCATGTACTGTTTTGGACGCTGGGAATATAAAGGTGAACAGCACAAAGTTCCTACTTTTATGGAGAGATAATAAACACAAAACAGACAAAATACTGTTCAATTTTAAATAATTATAAGTGCAAAAAGACATACCACATGGTAATAGAAACTAAGATGGCTTGGAGAGGTAGTGGTGGTTATTATTATAGGTAGAGTGGTCAGGGAAGGTCCCCCTGGAGAAGTCACACTTCAGCAGAGACCTGAAAGAAGTAGAGAAATGAGCCATAGAAAGACATGAAGAGCTCCCCAGGCAGGAAATGACAACTACTCTGAGATGGGAATTAACTGAGACCTTTCTAAGGGTCGGAAAACAAGGCCAGTGTAGCTCAAGTGTAGTGTAGTCAGTGATGTTGGGGTGATGAGAAGGAACCTGAATATGCAGGACATCCTACGATATGTTAAGGCATTTTGATTTTTTTTTTTACTTTCAATGTGATGCCACTGCTGCTATAAGCATGGAAATGATATAATTGATGTATGATTTAAATAATAACTGGCTAATGTGAGGGGAATGGAGTGGAAGTAGGTTTCATAGCAGTCTGAGTGAGAGATTATGCAGACTGAAACTAGGGCAATGGGTTAGTGCAGATGAAGAAAAATTGTCAAATTTGGGTTATAATTTGGAGATAGGCTGACTGGACCTGTTGATTATTATTTGGGATTATTTGGACGTGAGGTGAATTCTAGGTTTTAGCAGACAATTGCTGAATGGTAGTGCCATTTACCAAGATGAAGAAGATGGAGGGAACCTTATAAGAGTTTTTTGCTGGTATCAGTGAATGAGAGAATCAGGAATATACACCTACTGAAAACAGCTTGAATTACAAAGACGGAAATGTGGGAATGTGAGGAGTGACTAAATTTGGTAATAGAAAAGTTAATTCCTACATGATAAACAAGTAGGGCTTCCGCCGAAATGAAATCATATTCCAAGTAAAATCATGGTTTTCTGACAAACAACAGACTGTCATTCAAAACCGCACCTAGGATGCAATGATACTTTAGGAATTGAGAGAAACATGAAGAAACAGTAAAAGCAAAAAAACCACCAGAACAGATAGTAGAAAAAGGTATGCCTTTTGGTGTGGCAGCCTAGTTCAAAAGAAACTATTGTCTTTCCCTTAGAACAACCCCCCTTATCCCCAGTCCTGGCCAGCCACATTTATACTGCACAATTCACACCCCATCCACAGCTGACTGGACTAGGGAAGGAAGCCTGAGTCAAGTTGAGCCACATGTGGCTTCTGTTCTGAATTTTGAAATTAAGATCAAACGATATTTGTGTTCATTTTGAGTCAGATTTAGGTTTTTACTTTAATATGCTAATGCAAGATGGTTAAGTTAACCGTATGTCACTTTGTGGATCTAAGAAGTAGAGACTATTGGTTGGAAGAGAGCAGAGGGAAGCAGGTGATGAGAAAAAAGCAGCAGTGGGGGAAGAGTTCTGCCCAGTGTCCAGGCTGCTGGCTGTCTTTACACACCTCTGTAGCCTTACAGTACACTCTTCCTGATATATGCATTCTGTTACTCGCATATAGATAAGCAAATAGAGATCACTCAGAACAATTATTTTGAAGATTACTTCATTTTGATATAACGTTTTGTCAGTAGAACAACATAAAAAGAGGAGGGCGGTAGACTGAGGGGCACATGTCCCTCTCCCCTCATTGTCACATTCTCTACCCACTGTCACATGTGATATCAGAGAATAATGTGCTACTGTCCCAGAAAGGAAAAAAGAAATCTGTTAGACAACAGTATGTGATAGAACTAGAAACATGAAAAAGTACATGAATCCAGGTGGGTAAACTGCAAACACACACACACACACACACACACACACACACACACACACACAGCATGCTGACTTGAGGATATTACCTGTTATAACCATACAAACATACTAAAATTTCAGCACAATTCCTTTTTAAACTTTCTATTGGTGTAATATATGAATAGAAAAGTACATGTAAGTGTACTGAATTTTTACAAACTGAACTTTTCTGTGCAATCAGCACCTAGATCAATGAGTATAATATTACACAATTGTTTTTGTTTTTTGTACTTAGCTGGGGAGTAAGTGTGTCTGCATACATCTACAACATCTAATAAATCTTTAAATGAATGTGCTGAGTATGAAGTTGGTTACCCTCTTTTCCCTATTTTATGAACATTGCTATGATTTCCGCAAGTTATCTCATTTAATCTTTTCCACAATCCTGTTAGGTTAATTGCTATGCCTATTTTACAAGACTAAATTGAGGCTCAAAGATATTTAGTGACATGTCCAAGTTCACACATCTAAAAACCAAACCTAGCTCTGTCTCACTGCCAAAGTATTCTTAACTGCTGTATCAGCTGCCTGACTGATTCAGGTAAAGTGATAGTGGGCTATGGCCAGCAAGTTTACTTGATTAATTTATTATGTATAATAACAAGAAATGAGGTTTTAAAATGGGTATTTAAGAAAAGTATAAAATTGCCATTATTAAATGGAGAAGTAACAAAATAAAAATAGTGATTGCAAGAGATGATTCTAGACTTATATATTTAGGAATAGGAATTGTGGCTGGGTGCGGTGGCTCACGCCTGTAATTCCAGCACTTTGGGAAGCCAAGGTGGGTGGATTTCCTGAGGTCAGGAGTTCGAGGTCAGCCTGGCTAATGTGGTAAAACCCCATCTCTACTAAAAATACAAAAATTAGCCAGGCGTGGTAGCACACACCTATAGTCCCAGCTACTTGGGAGGCTGAGGCAGGAGAATCACTTCAACCTGGGAGGCAGAGGTTGCAGTGAGCCAAGATCACGTCATTGCACTCCAGCCTGGGTGACAGAGCGAGACTCCATCTCAAAAAAAAAAAAAAAAAAAAAAAAAAAGAATATGAGTTAATGGCAATTAAAGTGCTTCTTCTTTCTTTTTTAAAGCATGCCAGCAACAGTCACAGAATGATGGAGAACAGGATTAAGTTTATGCACATTTGAAGAAAGATTCAACTGAAGTTGGAAAGGTCTATGTAAGATAAGAAAATGGAAGAGTTGAAACCCATTACCTAGTGTGCAAACCTAGGAAACCAGAATTGGTAAATATGTTATGTGTGATGAAAATCTGAAATGGGGTGGCTATTTGGGTACAGTGAGAAGATGAATTTGATATTCAGTATTTATATAATCAGAAGCTGTGTTGGCATCCTCTCCAGGTTTTATTCACTCACATTTCAAACTTTTCATCCCTCACCATAGCAAAAAGATCAAAACACTTTTATGGGGAATAAATAATTTGGAAGGACTGGGCTATAAAGCCAATTAAAATTGGCATTAATAGCTCAATAACAAATTTGGTTCAATTGGCTATTTCTAGAAGCCTTATGCAAAGGTTATTTTTTCCCTTTTCATCATTGGTACAGAGGCTAGTTAGATATCAGAGTCCTCCCTCCTCTCTCCCTCCCTTCCTCTTTTCTTCCCTCCTTCCTGTTTTTGATGTGGGTAAAACTCATAGGACCTGTGCTTCTGTCACTGTGGCTGACTTCTCAAGGTATTGGATAATGATTTTAGTTAAATAACTAACTCCGAATAATAGAGTATATCTTAATTCTGGATATATTTTATAGATTTGTCTCTTTAACTGATCCTGATAAATACCCCTCCCTGGGCCCTGTCTTGAATGTTCAAATAATAATTTGTTCTGGTTTCATATTCAATAAATGAATCACCAAAGTGTTCCAGCACATATTAGACAACATCAAATACATGGGAAGCTTTTAGTCAGTTGAGTCTGATTTATACAGGCAAATATTACCTGCTTAATGCAATCCAAAAAAGCTTCTCAACAGTATATATTTTTGTAAATGTGTATGTATTTATTTCCACCATTAACTTACAAAACTTGTGTTCCAATTTAAAATATTAACTTATGTTTCTTCCTTAAAAAAACTGATACATTCTTTCTTTCCAATTAACTCATTTCTTTTCTGGAAAGAAAAGTCAATAATCTCTATGCTCCAAGGTTTACATCACATTCAACCCTCTTCCACATCTCTACCAAATTAAAAAAAAAAAAGCAATGAACAAACAAACTCAAGAAATGGGAAAGAAAGAGTTAAAGAACAAATAAAGGCACCAAAATCTCATTTGGTCTCACAATAATAGAATGGAAATTAATTTAACACACTTATGGCATTATATAGAGGATTGCATCTTTCAGACTTTGAGTCATCAATAGAAAATACAAATTTATTCCATACATTTTCTTTCTTTTCTTTTTTCTTTTTCTTTTTTTTTTTCTTTTTTTTTTTTTTTTGAGACAGGGTCTCTCTCTCTCTCGTCCAGGCTTGAGTACAGTGGCGTGACCTTGGCTCACTGCAACTCCCCACCTCCCAAGTTCAAGCAATTCTTGTGCTTCAGCCCCTGAAGTAGTTGGAATTACAGGTGTGCGTCACCATACCCAGCTAATTTTTTTATTTTTATTAGATATGGCGTTTCACCATGTTGGCAAGGCTGGTCTGGAACTCCTGACCTTAAGTGACCTGCCTGCCTCAGCCTCCCAAAGTGCTGAGATTACAGGCTTGAGCCACCATGCCCACCTTATTCCACACATTTTCTAATAAATATTTCACAACTTTATGCTGTAAAATGTATGGCTTATCACAGATGCGCATTTCTTAAATGATGATTCTGTAAAAGGAAGAGATGACTAAGAGTTACACCATTGCTGTTACTTCATACTTACAGCAACTGCCTCCAGGATTTGTTTAACGGCATCTGCAGCATCTCGCTCACTGTAATATCCCTTTTCCACAATCCTGGAACAAAAAGAAAGGAAATGCTTCTCAGGCACATTCATTCAGAAGAATGGATATTAAAAGAAGTTAAGTAAATTAATGTTAAAGATGGTGCACATAAACAATTGAAACAAGCTACCATACTACCATGGGAAAGATTTCCACAAACTGACACTCTAAAAATCTTTGAGTTTACTTAGGAAAATGAAATACTTTTATTTTTCCTTGGCTTGAACTATCCATTGCATTTGAGGAGAAAACACTTTGTCTGTTTTAAGCTTTGTTTTGTGAATCATTTTAAACATATGCCAGTAGATATTATACAATGAAACACCCCCATGTAATTGTCACATAGCTTTATCTGTAAATTCATGAAGTTTTGTTTTATCTGCTTAATTACTTCTACTCCTTCCTTATTATTTTGAAGCACGCATCAGACATTATATAATTTCATTTATAAATATTTGAGGAGGTTATCTCTAAAAGATAAAGGACCCTCTAAAAATCAGTCATAATTCCAATATCATACCTATAATTAATTTCTTAATATTATCAAATATGCAGTGTTTCAAATTTCTAATTGTCTGAAACATGTTAAATTACTTGTTTGAATAAGTATCCAAATAAGGTCCATGAAACTTGAATGGTTAGCGTATCTCTTATTATTTTTTAACGAGTATTTTCTCCCTCTCTCTCTCTCTTCCCCCCGCCAACCCTCTTTCTCTTTTTCCATCCTTCCCTTTCATCCCTTCTCCATCTCTGTTTCACTTTTGCTGCGTTTCTTTTTGGAAAGCTGGTCACTTGATCTTTAGAGTTTCCCTGCTTGGTAATGTGATTCTTTAAAAAAAAAAAAAAAACACAAAACTTTTAAGTTCAGAGGTACATGGGCAAGTTTGCTACACAAACTTCTGTGATGGGGCTTTGTTGTACAGGTTATTTCATCACCCAGGTATTAAGCCTAGTACCCATAAGTTATTTTTCCTGATCTTCTCTCTCCTTCCTCCCAACCTCCACCCTCTTATAGGCCCCAGTGTGTGTTGTTCCTCTCTGTGTCCATGTATTCTCATCACTTAGTGAGAACATGTGGTATTTGGTTTTCTGTTCCTGCGTTAGTTTGCTAAGGAAAATGGCCTACAGCTCCATCCATGTCCCTTCATAGGACATGATCTCATTTCTTTTTATGGCTACATAGTATTGCATGGTGTATATGTACATTTTCTGTATTTAATCTGAACCTAATCAAGACCCCAGCATTACCTATTAATTAAAAAAAGGGGCAGAGAAATATCTCCAAAGACATCAAGGGGATAGAATCACATTTGATTCTAGAGGATTACATTTCATTCTATACCTTGATGTCTTTGGAGCTATTTCCTGCCCTCTCTACTTTTTATTAATGGATAGCATTAGGGTCTTGATTAGACTCAGGTTGAATTTTTAGCAAATACGTTTTATAGGGAGTATTGTGTATTTTCACAAGAAGTTGCATGTTCAATTATGCTCCATTTCATGTTGACAATAACAGTAATTGATTATCAATGCCTACATCCATCAAGTCATTAGCAGTTTCAAGTTGGTAAAATCTATCATTGCTGCTTCTTTGTTAGCTAAAAATTTTCTAGTAATACAATTCTTATAGGAAAGAGGGGATAAATTATTAGTTTTTCAACTTACCAGTTTTCAAAATAATGAGTTCATTCACCAACATTTTCAGTGACCAGTTAGTGTTTTTGTTCATTTTTTGGTATCATTTTGGAAGTATGGATTTAACCATATTTGATACGTTTCAATCTGCTCTAGCTCTTCCTGGGTCAGTAATAGGCTATGCAAGTTGGCTTTTGAAGTCTTTGGTGGTTATTTTACTATCCAGTATAATATAATACCTGAGACTTATTTTGTACATTTGCTGCCTCAGACCTAGAATAAGTCATTGTCTCCTAGAAGTACACTTTTAGTGGCAGGTAGTATTTTTCTAATTTTACATGTTATTCTTGAATTAAAAAATAAATATATATGTACATATGTTCATATTCCATTTCCTAGACAAACAATATTATCAGGTTAATATGTACAAAATGTTTTATATATGTTTTTACTATGTGGTCCATTTTATGTGCTTTTCCTCTTTAATTTTAATTTTTTTTCCATTTAGGAGTGTTTGTATTTATGTTTTCATGTTTTTAACATTAGTTTCTTCTTTTTTGGTTTGTTCTGTACTCTCAGCAATACTGACATTAACCAGCTGATATGGTTTGGATTTTTTGGATTTGTGTTCCCACCCAAATCTCATGTCAAATTGGAGGAGGGGCCCAGTGGGAGGTGATTGGATCATGGGGGAGGATTTCTCCCTTGCCATTATCATGACTGTGAGTGAGTTGTCATGAGATCTTATAGTTGAAGTGTGTGGCACTTCCCCCTTTGTGCTCTCTCTCTCTCCCGCTCTGCCATGGGAAGATGTGACTTGCTTCCCCTTCACCTTCCGTCATGATAGTTAAGTTTCTTGAGACCTCTGCAGCCATGCAGAACTGGGGGTCAATTAAACCTCTTTTCTTTATAAATCACCCAGTCTCAGGTAGTTCTTTATAGTGTATGAGAACAGACTAATACACTAGCAATCCAGCTAGTATGAACTTACAATACAGATACAATATATAGCTGTCAAAAATTACGAAGAATAAGAACAGCTTGAAAAAGATAAACTTCTTGATTGCTGTATAATTAGCAACAAGTAAAAGAATATTATTTCAAAGTAGCAGGAGGAAAGAGAGCCTCATTATCTTAAGTAGGTGACAATTTTCTTCTGACACATGATGTGATTTTCAAAAAATCTGATGACAACCTGATTTTCTCCAAATAATTGACTTGCTCTTTTTGCATGAATGTGGGCAAAGAATTTTTCTTTTAATTTAAAGTCTTTTAAGACATGTTTTATGAAAAACACGGTAGTTGTTCTGGGTTTAGTTATTCAGATTTGTGGCATAATCTTTCAATTTAGAGTGCTTTCATTATTCTTTTTAAATCTCAGGAATATTTTCTTGAAGTAGAATGTTTTGTGTTTGTTTTCTTCCATTGCCTTGGTTTTCTTCTTTGGGGTGTGCAATTATAGATATGTAAGAATTTTTCTACCTTTGATTTATATTGTTGTCCTACAGTTTTCTTAATTTTAGCTTATTTTGTAACACTGTCTTATTTTCATGTTTTTTTTTTATGGGTGTTCTTCCTGACATGCTTTCACTGCCTAAAGGAACTTTATTCTGCTCCTTATTGTCTGTCCTCTATTGACCTCCAGCTCCATCCACGTCCCATAATCATTCTCTATTGGAACTAAATCAGATACTTTTCTGTTGCCGTCCATTTTTAAGCCAAATTGGTTTACTTAACCTTTTGACAGAGTGATAGTTCAGGATATCTTTTCTAGTTTCATGGCTCTTAAGTTTCTGGTTATGTTCATGAAGCGTTCAAAAATATGCCCTCATTCTTTCTGAGATCTCTTCCCCTCCCCTGGAACTTCATTCCCTTGCCTTTACCGTCTCTACACTGATTAATTTGGATTCTCTTCCTAGCAGTTTTTCCTAAGTGTAGAACCTTTTCCCCAAGGGACTTTAGATTTTTGTTTCAGGAGTTCACAAGGCCTTGACAATGAATTAGCTTTTTAGACCTTACTGCAGGTGCACCCCTTGTACTTTTCAGAAATTTGGATGGTAAAAATCACTCCCAATTTCAGCTTCTCTTTTTGTATTGACCTATCCTTCTTCCAAATAACTTGAAGATTTGAGAGATTTGAGTGTTTGCCTGCTTTGGGGTCTCTCATTTGTCTTCTTGCTTCCCTTGCTTCTTCGTGTACAGGTGATCATTCCACATGGCTCTTCCTGTTGTCATTAGTTGGTCCTCACTCACTTGTATGTTAGGCTTCATGGGGATACCCGGCCACCTGGTTTTGCTGTAGATATTGTCATTGAGTTTTTGATTTTTCAGAACAAGTTGCTGTCTAGTCTTATGAAGAGCTTTTGGAGGACTGAAAAACTACTTTGTTGCTATGTCTAACTTTCCATAATTTCAGGAGAAAAAACATTTCTAATAGCACTGCATAAGATGACTTCAGCTGGCACAAAGTTTGAAAATGGTCAATTCAAAACATAAAGGACAGTTTCAACAATGTTTGTCATTTTAAATAGAAACTTTTCTTAGATGGTACCTCAAATAGCATATTTTTCAGAAAGTACTTTTCTTTGATTTCTGTTTTCTTTAGATATTGTGACAAGAAGTTTTAAGTTCTCAAAGTAGCTGGTATTAAAAGTTGAATTTAAAATCTGTAAAATGTTTCCAAAATAGGGGATGGGGCGGGGGTGAGAAGCAGCAGAACAAAACAGATATGTCAAAAGTATAAAATATATCAAAAAACCTCAATGATTATAGTTTTTAAAATTCAGAAACAATATATTGAGGCAAAAATTTCAATTACCTCATTTTCCTTATTTAGTTATTTAGAACACTGGCAAGCAATTCAAATTCATCCTCTTTTTATTTTTGGGATACTTTACCAGCACTAGGGTCAAATGAAAGGAGAAAATAGATTACAATATCTAGGGAATGATTATTCATTTGTTCTTGAATATCATTTTCTTATGATATTTACTTACAAACCTATGAAATTTTCCAATTCATGATTAGGTTAAATGGTCTACTTATAAAAATTTAATTGACATGCTTCATGGGACTATACTTTCTGAACATTTTAAGTATGAGGGAAGGGGAAAAGAAGTACTACTGTGACAGAGAAAGTTCAGGACTTTGGCTACCATGACATCATTCTCTGCATTTTACTCTAAACGTGGATTTTGTGGTATCTCTATCATCCAGCACAAATGTAATTAGTGTCTCCTCTGTGCTCTGTACCTATAGCCTCAGGAGCTTGGCTTTCTCCAGTTTTGTTAAAAGAGGGGAGTTGTTACAAAGATGATGGAGAAGAATAGCTGTTAAATTTCTTTGCAACCTTATATTATCTCCAGAAGGGAATAAAATCAATTACCTTCTGGCCTACAACAAACAGTGTGGATTTTCCCCATAGTCACTCACCCAGGCTAGAGCTTTACCACAGCTGCTTTGCAGTACTTTTCCAGAGGGCACTACTCATGCAAATGGCACTCCTTGTGGTTGAAGAGAGCCAACTTCCACAACCATGAGCTGTCTCCCTTAGGTGTCTATTAAAGACACAGTTCTTAGAGGCATCATCACTCTTCATAAAGTAGGTGCTTCACCCACTACAATCTCCTCTCTATATTTTGGTTTATTATGTAGTCTCAAGCTTCAGCCTAAATATCTTCTGTATTTTCATTTGGCTCTAAGTTAGGGTTAAGTGCCTACTGTGAGCTAAATGTTTATGTCTCTCCCAAATTCATATGTTGAAACCTAATCACCAATGTGATGTTATTAGGAGGTGGGGCCTTTGGGAGGTGATTCTGTCATGAAGGATGAACCTTCATGAATGGGATTCATGCCTTTATAAAAGACACCCTAGAAAGCTTCTTTGTCCCTTCCACCATGTGCAGACACAGCTAGAAAGTGCCATCCATGAATCAAAAAGCAGCCCCTCAGCAGGCATTGAATCTGCTGACACATTTATCTTGGACTTTCCAGCCTCCAGAACCATGAGAAATAAATTTCTGTTGTTTATAAGCCACTCAGTATAAGAAATTTTGTTACATCAGACTGAAAGGTCTAAGATAGTGCCTGTGTTTCAGAATATGTTCTTGTGGGAATGTCTAGGGCCTGGCTTGATGGAAGAGTGAATTTTCTTGGGAGCTGTGTTCATGTGGGAGGGAGAGAGGAGTAGTAGGTATATGAAGAATAGTTAATGGAAACTTTACTGATTTTCCCCAACATACGTTAAGTTAGTGAAATAATTCATTCTCTTAACCAGAGGATGCATTCCAACAGATGTATCTGCTAATTTATTTATTCAATAAATATTACGGAGAGACTGTTATGTGCTGGCCACTCAGTAGTGAACTGGACATGGCCTCTGCACTCATGGGCTTTCTCTTGGTATAAGTAGACAGACAACATTCAACACAGTGTGCTAAATGATGTGATAGAGTTATTAAATAATGGCCTGAGAGCTCTGAGAAAATGCAGGTAATCTATTCTGGAGGCCATGAAGGGTGAGGAAAGGATTCCAGAAATAGCTATATCTCAGCTCACACCTGAAAGGTGTATAGAAATTTTTCAGATGCAAGGAGGGTGGCAGTTGGGGGTCGGGATAGGTATGGAAGAAGAAAGTGGTGATATTCATCCACATTCATAACTTCTAATGTGAGCCAGGTACTTGCTGGATATAAACAGAATAAGATTTGGGCTCTGCCTGAGATGAGACCACAGATGGTGGAGTAAAGAAAGTTACAAACAAAAAACATTATCATAGATGTAATGTATGTTATGTAAGGTTTGTACAACCAAGGGATTTATTAATTCTGTAGTGAGAACAGCATCCATAGAGTAGATATGTGGGGCAAGGGCACAAAACTCAAGTGCCTCCCCACCTCATTTCAGTGTGAACTCCGCACACTGCATCTTGGCCAACCATCACCCTTCGACCACTTCTATTCCAGGCAGTTTCTGCTAAAAGGAGCTTTGTTCCCAGATGATTCCTTAAACAGATTGTCACAGGGTTAGTTTTCTGAAACTCAGACATCCCATTTTAAATATTTTATAAGTTGAGCTGCCATTCAGGCTATCCATGGCTGACTGAAAAGTTCAATAGCAATGAACTCAAGTCATAAATGCAGGTTTACAACTTAGAACTATGACTGCAAGTGAAGATGCTAGTGACCAAGCAAAGGAAAATGAAATCTTGCAATTTATTTCTCTTAATTTCAGTTGTATGACATCAGTAGATGTGTTTGTCCAGAACCTTCTGCAGGGCACTGTGGTAAAATTATTAGCCTTCTCATTAGATTGTTGCTTGGATCACCCACAGAGCCTAGCTGCAAAACTTGCCCATAGTAAGTAAATATTTATGGAATCAATACCAATTGCCAAGTGAATGGACGTCAGAAAAATTTCAGATTGAGGACATTTGGACAATACTTTTGCCTATGTTCACTATCATGGGGAACAAAAGCACTGGACTCAGAAGTGATTCCCATCACAAGTACATTGGCCATGACTCCAGAGGAAGAACAGCTGTGTGGATGCTTCCCAGAGGACAATGCAATAAGTGAAAAGATTACTGCTGGCTTTAGGAAGAAACTCAGAGTTACATAGTTTTAGATATTGCTGGAATAACATGAATCTTTTTAGAAACTTATTTTAGACAAAATCAAAGTAATTTAAATTCCTTAAAATGGGGTATTTGTTTCATGAGGTGACACGTAATTTCTTTATACAATTTAGCTGGCATCTCAAAAAATTTGCCAATGAAATTGAACCATGGGTAGAGACTCAAGGTTTTATAGCTTTATACGAAATATACTCATGACTCTGAGTTTTAGAAGCAACGAAATATTTAATAATTGTAGGGGTTTTAAAGCTGTAAAAATAGAGGGATAATTTTGGCTGGTATTTTTGTTTTTTCATATTTAAACATAGTTATTGCTGTATTTCTCTTGAGATTTAGTAAACTAATTTCTGTTTCGTGATTTGAAAAATAATAAGGAAGCAGTTAAGATGCTACCAGCATTTTAAGATAATTGTCACAGGCCCAGGGCCCTGTGGTTTGCCTCTGTGCCACACAGTTTCCCAGACTTCCATTGTGGGCTAGGCCAGAGGGCTCAGAGCTCAAAACAAAATGTCTTCTAGGATTTTAATCACAACACTGACCCAAAAGGCTGCCCTGAGACTCCAGTTCCTACAGGTCCCTCAGCTGCCAGGGGGCCTAGCAGACATCTGGAGATCTGGGAAGGAAGCACGAAGGTGGTACATTTCCCCAAGCTCCTCCACTGAAAGCGTCTGGCTTCAACAGGCTCTCTTACACCACAACTGTGCCTTTTACTTCCACTGCTCGCTGTGCTGGTGCCCGTGCTCTTCTCCTCAGTTGGTGTGTTTTTCTTCCCATCATTTAAAATTTATAGGATGAAAAAATACAGGCAATGCCTATTTCTCTCTATGGAGCTGCTGTAACATATGACTCTGGTGCATTTGCTTCTGTAACACTAATTGCCACAAATTGAATTGAGCTCATCTCCATCCAGGCAGTTAACACGCGCACAGCAGCTGAAGAGCTCTAATCTGATCATATCCTGAGGCCCCAGACTTCCTGGCACATAGATTGGGAGCCCTGCTGCTCTGCCCACCACTCGCAGCTTTTTCTCAAATGGCTGCATAATAACTGTAGATGACTAGGTTTATGTGAGAAAGATAATGGTCTGATGAGAATGTGTACTGAAGGATCAAATGACAGAGAGTAAAAGCCCCAAATAATATAAAGTTTCAGGAACCAAGTCTTAAGGGCTGCCAGTACACCATTATGCTGTTACATACAAAATTATATTAAAATGAAATCTGCTGTACTCTGTGTAAATCTACCACTTCTTTGTAAGTTTCAATCACAGCTTCTCATTTTATTGATGACATCATTGTCTGTTTTGGTGCTTTCTGTAAAAACTTTCTTGCCAAAGAATGTCAAGTTCATATACTTTTCAAAAAAGTAGTTTCAAAGATACTACTAGCACCTGTTACATTCAAATACTAAGAAGAAAGTCAGGGAATTGTGGATCAATGTGGGTGCTGGCCAGGGAGCTGACAAGAGAAAGAGGAGGTCAAATCAAATTGCAAATCTGGGAATGGGCCTAAAAGATTCCCAGTCTACTTCTCTCATACTATAGATAAAAGGCCTGACTCAAAAGATATATATATTGCAGCCGGGCGTGGTGGCTTACACCTGTAATCCCAGCACCTTGGGAGGGCAAGGTAGGTGGATCATGAGGTCAGGAGATCGAGAGTATCCTGGCTAACACAGTGAAACCCCATCTCTACTAAGAAAATATAAAAAATTAGCTGGACCTGGTGGCGTGTGCCTGTAGTCCCAGTTACTGGGGAGGCTAAGGCAGGAAAATGGAGTGAACCCGGGAGGTGGAGTTTGCAGTGAGCCAAGATCACGCCACTGCACTCCAGCCTGGGCGACAGAGGGAGACTCTGTCTCAAAAACAAACACAAACAAAACACACACATATATATATATTGCTCAGGAGCACACTATTCAATCATTCACTTAACAAATATCTAGTCCCTGCTTGCTTTCTACCTAGCCCAGCTTTTAAAATTGAGACTAAGATGCTCATATTTTACCCAACAGTGTACAATTGTGCTTTTGAACATCATTTTGCCACAATAGGCCCTTCCTTCTGGCCTCTGCCTGCTAATTTCCAATTTCTCACATAAGAGTCAGCTCAAAAGATTTTACTCCTTCCTGAAGCAATTTCTGACTTACAAAACCCCCTTGTTTTGTACTCTACACACTGTGTTTATGCCCTAATTATAGCACTTATCATCCCCACATGAATACTTAGAGTTGAATATGGGGCCAATCTCTAACAAACACAAAACATCTGATGATCTCTCTTTTATGTCCTGATTATTATTTTTATTTCTTTTTATTTCCTAGCCCTCATTAAAAAAATTTGTGATATTGTAGTCATTATAATCCCTAATATGCTTTACTTGGAAGGTGATGCTTAAAAAATATTAGCGTCTATGTCACATTTTTACTTTCCCTCTTTAGACTATGAGCTCCTTGAGGGTGGAGACAATATACAGTGGTTAATACATTGGTGGGAAGAGAACAAAGTGGGTGGTAAAGCCAGCATGGTAAGGTGAGGCCAGATTGTAAGTGGGCTTTTTTTTGTCATGTTTAAAAGTATTGACTTTAAGTGAAAGTAGTGAGTAGCTTCCTGGGCTGACCTGATCAAATCTATGCTTAAATACAGATGGATGGAAAGGAGTGAAAGTAATACTCTCCAGGAGTCTACTGCAATGGGAAACAATGCAAAGGTGCAACAGGGCAGAAGCACTGGGAAAGGGAAAAGGGAACAGATTTCAAAGCTGCTCAGAGGAAGAATTATAGGGAATAGAGAAGGAGAATCTAAAGGAAAAGGGAGAAATTCATGTTGATTAGTTTAGTTGGTGAATCAGTTCACAGGGAAGGGGAGTGAGATTGAGAGAGGGATGCTGAGTTCATTTGATTTAGAGGTGCTAATGGGACTTGGTGAGAAGCCTAGTAGACTGCTGAAAATACAGTTTTCATCTTAGCTGATACTGTAGCCACCAGTGTGGCTCAAGCCACAGGTGAGTGTCAAATTCATCTAACAAGAATGTAGAAGAAGTTTAAAGGGAACTTAAGAGGTGGGGAGGGGAAGAGGAACTCAGGAAAGAGATCAAGAGGGAGACGGCTGAAAAGTTGGACGAAAGCCAAGAGAAAAAGAGACGCTGTCCAAAACTCCATGAATGATATGAAGGAGTAAGCCAGTAATATATAATGCTACAGAGACCAGAGTCTCCAAATATGCATAGCCTTCAGCATTAGCAGACCTTCAGTGCTCCTCAAAAGCCCTTTTTCTTGCCCTTGTCTGTTCACACAATCTCACTTAAAATCTTCACCAGTTCCTTCTTCAAGTGCCCTATTCCATTCTTTACCAGTTAATATTAGGAGATCAATTTCCCTTCTTTAACAATACTGGAAAATTAGAGGCTATCAAGACCGAACTACCCAAACGTCTTCTAACCCACCACACTTCAATTTCCAGACCTAGGAAACCACTGTTTTGCTTCTGTCTATATATTTTCCCCTTCTGGAAATTCCTTATAAAGTCATAGAGTCATAGCATATATAGTCTTCCATGTCTGGCTTCATTCCCTTAGCATAAACTTTTTAAAGTTCATCCATGTTGTAGTGTGTATCAAAGGAACATTCCTTTTCATTGCTGAATGGTTGTGCATTCTCCAGTTGATGACATTTAAATTATCTCCCCTTGGCTGGGCGGGGTGACTCATGCTTGTAATCCCAGCACTTTGGGAGGCCGAGGTGGGTGGATCACGAGGTCAAGAGATCCAGACCATCCTGGCGAACATGGTGAAACCCTGTCTCTACTAAAAATACAAAAAAAAAAAAAAAATTATCTCCCCTCTTGTAACACATCTAATTCCAGGTGTAGGCATCTATCTGGCCCCACTGTACTGCCTCCATGGAACTCAAAGGGCAAGGGGAACTGACAGACTTGCTAATGCCCATAACGTTTGCTGTGCCATGAGTAATAAGGCCCTTTGTCTCTGATTCAGTAATCGTGTGCTTTCCAGCATCCACAAAAGAATAATAGGCTCTTTTATTAGTTTATAAGCAAGGTACAATTACATCTCAGTCCCAACAGTGTCTTCCAACTTATTCCAAAAGTCTTTCTTTTTCAAAATTGCTTTGATTAATCTAGCTCCTTTGACCCTTTGTCTCTTTCTTTCTGCTTCAGAGGAAGAAGAGTTTTTTCTAAAAACCAAATCCGTTTATCTGACTCTAGATCTCATTCCCTTCATGCCTTTTCTAGAATGTTGTTCCAAATTTAGGTCCCTCTCATACAAATCTCTCCTGCTTCTCTTTCTTATGAGCTCCTTCCCATCAGCAAATCAATGTGTTCCTAGACCTACAGCTTAAAATAATAAACTTCCATTTATCCAGTGTGTTCTACTACCTCACCTCTATCTTTCATTTTATGGCCAAGCTTCTAGAAAAAGTAAACTATAAGTCTAGTCCAAATCAAAGTATAAGTTTTCTTTACATATAGCCAGATAAAGCCACATAAAGAGATGTATTTAAAATATCCATGGTTGAAAAGCAACTATATACAAATTAAAGGTCAGCTTAAGCCAACACTCAAGTAGGACAAACATTAGATTACTAATCTCAAGTTTTATTTTTAAGCATAAGAGTTCTGGCATTTGCAGCAGCATGACATGGTAGCAAAATTATATACTTTGGAATGTGACATACTTGAGTCCAATCTTATTTAATTATTATTAGATCATATATAAGCTGAATGACCTAACGGAAGTTAACAGACCTCTCTGATCCTCAGTTATCTTGTCTATAAAATGTATATATCAAAGCCTACTTTATATATGTGTTGCTCTAATGATTAAATAGTATCATGTTAATAAATTGCCCTGCATACTCTGCCAGCAACCCAATAGGATCTCAAAAATGTTCCTCATTATATTCACTAATTATCCTTTCTGAACAATCACATTTTACAGAATCACTCATTAGATAATTACATTGATGACTAATTTCTGATACAAAGGTCTTCACAAATGCAGACTTTTTCTAAGTTTGTTAAATCCTAATACCAACCATACTACAACTCCAGAAAGACTGGGACAAGAAACAGCCTCAGTTCCATTTCTCAAACCTTTTTCTAATAGCAATGCCCTGAAAATTCAATTTGTTTCCACCAAGAATGAGAGATCTAGAAATGCTGAAGTACAGATTACTATTAGGACTCATATAGTAGGACTGGAGGTGAGGTCTTATGACCTATTAATAACTTTTTAAGTGTATGCTATGGAAAGATATGGATAATAATACCTCAAAAAAGGTGAAGAGAGAGTTATTGAGTGGGCTATATAGATACATAGGTTTGCACAGGACCAATCAATACATCATGGATTTTCCATGTATAAACAGATATTTATTTTCTTGGAAATGATGTGCAAGAGACAAACTGGACTTAATAAGAAAGAAAGTGAGGCCCTAAAAGAAGGAAAGGATTGGATCAGAAGACAGTCTGGTTGCCTCGACTGGGAAGATCATTACTAATTCTGTTTTCATATTTGCATAGTGAGTATACTGCTTTTCACCCTGCTTGCTCAAATAGGCTGACTTTTTAAATCAGGAAAATACATTAGTGTCTGTGAAAAAAATTTAAAACCGTATGTGAATTTTTGCTCTCAGCAATGGTGGGTCAGACAAGCCTCCAGGTAAGAAAAATAAAAACAAACTCAATAAAATAAAAAAAATCTATTTGAACAAATCAGAGAGTTATCAGGTGTGATGGTAATATTGAGTGTCAACTTGATTGGATTGAAGGATGTAAAGTATTGTTCCTGGGTGTGTCTGTGAGGGCGTTGCCAAAGGAGATTAACGATGAACTGGGAGATGCAGACCCACCCTCAATCAGCTGCCAGCATGGCTAGGATAAAAGCAGGCAGAAGAACGTGGAAAGACTAGACTGGCTAAGTCTTCTGGTCTCCATCTTTCTCCTGTGCTGCCTTTGAACATCAGACTCCAAGTTCTTCAGCTTTCCGACTCTTGGACTTACACTAGTGATTTGCCAGGGGCTCTTGGGTCTTTGGCCACAGACTGAAGGCTGCATTATCGGCTTCCCTACTTTTGAGGTTTGAGAACTCAGACTGGCTTCCTGGCTCCTCAGCTTGCAGGTGGCCTTTTGTGGAACTTCACCTTGTGACTGCGTGAGTCAATTCTCCTAATAAACTCCCCTACATATATACATCTATCCTGTTAGTTCTGTCCCTTTACAGATCCTTAACTAATACACTAAGGAAGGGAAGGATTTAGGAATCAAGATCCAGAAGAGAAGAAAAACCCAGCAAAGCAAACCTGCCATCTGATGCCTCTGATTTCCTTCTGAAGTCATTTACTTATTCCAACACAGCAGCTGACAGGCGGAGAAGGTGAATAAAGTTTCTGGCAATTACACAGAGCTAAGGGTACAGAAGTTGACATTGAGGGTCTGCCAAGTAAGAATAGCCCTGGTATAATGCCCTGGCTTAAAGTTGAGACCTTCAAAGAGCAAAGCCTTGTGAATAAGACTTGACAAGAAGTATACCAGCCATTAGGAAGCCCAGCTTTGAATTAGCCTAATATCTGATTGCATTAAAATGATCTGTTTGTTAACCTTAAATGCCCACCACAACAAAAGAAAATCTCCTTTTTTGGAAGGTAACAGCATTCCAGGTCTCAAATTCTAAAACCTTTTACACATAATGTTTGGCATTGGAACAAGCCTAAACAGGCAAGCAAAAACACAGAAAGAAATGGATCATATCCTTTGCAGGGACATGGAAGGAAATGGAGGCCATTATCCTTAGCAAACTAACACAAGAACAGAAAACCAAATACCGCATGTTCTCAATTATAAGTGGGAGCTTAATGATGAGAACACATGGACACATAGTGGGGAAAAACACACATTGGGGCCTTTTGAAGGGTGGAAATTGGGAGAATGGAGGGGATCAGGAAAAATAACTAATGGATTAGTGGATATTAGATTTAATATTTGGGTGATGAAACAATCTGTACAACAAATCGCCATGACACACATTTACCTATGTAACAAACCTGCAAATGTACCCCTGAACTTAAAAGTTAAATAAAAATAAAATTCTTTAGGAAAAAGTGATAAAACAAAAAAAGAAAAAGAAAACAGAAAAAAAACCCATGACAATGTTTACAAAATTCAAAACTATACTTAGATACTGGAGTTATCTGACAAAAATCAAGAAAAAATACTTTTGATTTAATTAGAAGACAGTAAGGATATTGCTAAATTTGCTGTCTTAAAATATAGTCATTTTTGAGGGAAAAAAACTTCGAAACTTGCTCTTAAAGCAAAACTCACACCTTGTCCATTTCAATAATTCAATGAAAATGATGTTGAGGTTTTAAGAGTTGAGACCAAACTGAGAACGGTTAAACAGAAACTTCATGGGAGCTTTCTTCTTCTCATGATGTCATAATTGTGCAAATTTATTTATGTTTTAGATTTTTCCTGGGCACAACAAATCATGGATTTTATTCCAAAATTTCTAATAAACTGTCCTATGTAATTTACTATTTAAATTCTACATAAAATAGCAGATTCTACTTGGATTTTGACTATGTTTAATTTTTATAAGCATTATAAATAGATTTTTTGCTAATTAAATACAACCTTTTTGAGTATAATTGACTCATATGATTATCTCTTCAGCAATTACTCCCCTAGTTCATTCATTATGTACTATTAGAGTCATCATTAGACCAGGAATGAATTCTTATCATCACAATTAAGTAAATTTGTTTTGACCTAAGTACAAAAAAAGAGATCATGTTACCTTTTAACTCTCAAGAAAGAAATCAATACATTGGATAATAATGCAGAATGTATTTTCAGCTTGATAAAATTTAAAGATAACTGCAGAATTAAGTAACTTAATGGAGAGACCAAGTTCATATCAGCTAGGTCAATGTTGTAGACCACAACATGCAAAGGAAAAGAGTCTATCTTTTAAAACCACTAAGAGTTGAGTGCTTTACTGGCTGTATGCCATTCTTCAGAGGTTTTCTGTTAAATATGAATATTTCATCCACTTATCTCTCCAAATGAAATTTATCAATAGCATTTACTTTTTCCATTTTTAGCTATAGCTGAATTAAATTTCATCCTAAATTCTTTCATGGAAGAAAGGTTGGGAAGAAGAGAAGGAGAAACCCATGATTCCCAATTAACTCAAGCCAATAGAGGTAGGTAAGTAAACAGCAAACACTATTAGTAGATGATTGCTTCAGTGTGGCATTCCTGTCCTGCAATTATTTATAATTTAAAAACATGAGAGTTCTCACTGATAGACCATAATTAGCAGAGAAATATGCAAGGTCTCCTTAGAGAGAGCTCATAGCTCCAAAACCAGCAGCATCTGACTATAAACTGCTCTATTAATGTAACTAAAGAAGGAATACATCCATAAAAAAGTCAGCTAAAGAGGTGTTGAAAAAGGAGCCATTATAGGCATATTGTGGCAATACCCAAATTAGCTAGGCCAGGAGACTCTTGCTTGAGGACATGGGAACATGTGAACAAGAGTATCTTCATAGTGGATTAGAGCCATCTAAGCTTTATTAGCAACATAAAGCCACTTCAAATTTGTTCTAAGGTTCAGAGAAGTTAAGTAAATTATTCTAGGTTAGTTAGTTATCTTTCAGTTGTAGAGTCAGGATTCACAACTGTGAGTCTTTCAAAAAAACAACTGCTGCCAGAACTGTATGGCTTTAAGCTACTGATGCTTACTTCCTTCAGCTGACTTATTATTCTTAAAATGTGAAAATAGTCAAAATGTTATAATGTTTAAAGTCTAATAATATGTTGAACCTGCTCTAAGGAAGTGTCAACATATATATGAACAAAATTCAGATGTGTATCTGTTACACATACATATGTAGTTGCAATGAAGCTAGACCTTTTGCTCCTTCTCACCTAAAGATCCAAATTTTCACTGGGTAATGTTAAAAAGAGACAGAACCTTTGAAAAACAATATGAATACTTTTGAAAGCTCTTGAAGAGGCAGCAAATTTAACTGGGTAGAGTATGGGTGTGAAGGAAGGTGTCTTAGTCCATTTGAGCTGCTATTTAAAAATAGCATAACCTGTGTGTCTTATACATATCAAACATTTATTTCTCACAGGTCTGGAGGCTGGAAAGTCCAAGATCAAGGCACCAGAAGATTTTGTGTCTGGTGAGGGCCCGCTTTCTCATAGAAGGCACCTTCTTGCTGTGTCCTTACATAGTAAAAGGGGAAAGGCAGCTCTCTAGGGCCTCTTTTATAACGGCACTAATCTCATTCTGGAGGGCTCCACCTTTATGACCTAATGACCTCCCAAAGATCCCATCTCCTAATACCATTATCTTAGGGATCAAGATTTTGGCAAATGAATTTTGGGGGCACACAAACATTCAGACCCTGGCAAAAGTGAAGGAGTGTTCCTCTCTCAACGCATTCAAAACTAATCCCCTTTAGATATTTCTCCTCAGAGTCCATTCATTGTAGCAGTTGTTCATTCATTCATTCAGCAAATATTTATGGAGCATTTGCTGTGATCCAGGCACTCAGGGTACATCAATGGTTCCCTCAGTCTCTTCTGTCTTCCCCATAAACTGCAGTCTACCTGTCTCTTGCCCCATTTTTTAACCAAAACTTTTCCATTCACGCATGGCTTCTTACCATTTCTAATATATGCCTACTTAGTCTCTTTGTCTTCTTTAAAGTCCATTCTTTTTTGATTACCTGATGAACACAGCAAAAGGCTCTCAAGAGCCCATCAGGACAAATACAGAATTCTCCTAAGAGGGTGGGGAAGATGGAACAACTATAGAAACATAAAGTTTGTGTGTCTTGTACAAATAGTTTGCATATATTATGCTCTGCCAGATTTCCAGGCTCCAACCCCCACCCCCACCCCCCTCCATTCTCACTCCTCTGCTTTGAAAGATGAACATATGAACAGGAAACCAAAGTTGGCAATAATTGGCTATAACAGAACATGTTTACTTTGCAACATGGAACTCTTTACACAGACTTCTAAAGAAAATAAGCTTAAAAATAATCATTTGAAGATTATTGAGTTTTATGAGCTTTTGGATCATAACAGAGGACAGAGTACATGTTTAATTTTTTATAATTTTCAAATATTTCAAATATTTTCTTAAGATATTCTCATAAATCTTACTATTTAGTTTAGATTTAATTTGATTTTAGACATTCTATCTTTTTATTGAGGAGACAAATATTTGCAAAGATAAATAGATATTATAGTGTTCCTCTTTTTACTCACTAAATATCTCAAGTTTTCATGTACCTACATCTTACCACTACCCACCTTCCTTCAACATTCTTCTTAAGACTTTTTTTAGTAGTATTTATCAACAAGTATAATCTGTCATTATAAAAAGTTTCAGGAGAAATGTCCTTTAGATTATTTTTTGGTGGCCAAAAGCAAACCTTTCTGTGGTTATATTTCCAGAACCAACTCACCTATCAAACAGTTCTCCTCCTGTGACGAGTTCTAGGACCAGACTGATTTCTGTAGGGGTTTCAAATATCTCTTTAAGTTTTATCTAGGGAAAGATATAAAAAAAAGAATATCACAAATTTCTTATTCCATCTTTCTTGGAAATAGCTAATACTATGGCTAAAACAACATTCTGCAGTAGTAATATGTTGGATCACTGTTAATAAAGTTTCCTCATTCTTTTATCAGCTAGCTATTTCTCACTCTCTTTCTGGGTTGTTGATTTTATCAGTTACCTCATTTTTTTCAAAGTTCCTATAAAATGTTTACATTTTTCCTTTTGTCAGTTGAAAGATGTCTGCCTTGGAAACACTTTCTAACTTTTCTAAAACATCCCAACTTCTGAATTGTTCAAAAATCAAAAACAAAAACAACACAACTTCCTAAACCATTTGAGGCATCAAGGTGGCTAGAGGTACAAAATGCCTATTTCTTCTGGGAATTACAAAACTTAAAATTAGGGGTCTGCGGCAGGGTAGGACCAGCTTAAAGTCGGCCTATATGTAAAGGGTATATCAATCAATAGTTAAAAAGCTGTCAGTGGGTGAAGGAATCCTCAGAAAAGCAGTGGTGACAGTGACTTGATTGAGCATACCATGGTCTTCATCACATTCAGCTAATCCAAGCAGTTTTATATATTTTTCTCCATATATACGAGAATCTAGTAGCCAGGACTAGTCTACACTTGAGGAAAATTCTACATTGACTTATCTTTGTAGAGAAGAGATGGATAATGTAAAAGTGGTGATGGAGTGTGGGAGATTTTATTAACTGCTTACCCAAAGCCCTTTTCTCCCTACTTTAATATAAACAGAACTCTGATTTGTTCAGAGATGGTATCTAGCCCCAAATTGTGGATCATGAATGGTCTTAGCCACTAATTTCACAGCCCCCATGCAGTTAAGGGTAATCTTGTGACTAGCTCCAGCCAATAAAATTTGAAGAGACTTCCACTGCCATAGTTTCTGAGAAAGCTTTTACTCTTCTTATGAGAACTGGCAGCTGAGATCCTTCCATCTTCTTCCTATTTTGAATATAGATGTGATGACTTGCAAAAATTGTGGAGCAGCCATGTTAGGCCCAGGAGGGAAAAGCATGAGGATGAAAGTCAATGCACTGAGGATGGCAGAACCAAGGATGGTATTTGGGTTCTGGAACAGCAGCACCGGCGAGCTGAGCCAGAAAACTGCCTGATTTTTGTTGCTTGCAACATATGGAAAATATTTGTTTAAATCATCCTATTCAAGTTTTCTGCTATTTACAGCTGAATGCTTCCCTAACTCATATGTTAAGTTTTGAGCACTTTGCCTGGAGTCTAAGCGTTGCAGGCCATCTCCCTGGACATCACAACTTCCTCAGAGAAATGGGCAAAAATGCTTTCTTGAAGTAGATGGCTTAATTCATAAAAATAACTTGCAACCTGGAAAATAATTTTATTCTTTTTCACTTCATCAGTTCAAGAACGCTTTTTACTAGATCTTTGCCTCAGAGGCTGTCTGGACAAAGCCTGAAGCAGAGCTTCTGAGGACATTTTATTTTCTGCATTCAAGTACATCATTTATTTGCATCTTCACATTGTTCATGAAGCAGATCCTCTCTCAAAGCAGACTGAAATTACTTGGGAAAGCAATGTATTTTCTTCACAGGCTTTTTCAGTAATGGAAAATTAATAAGATAGGCACACAAAAGAAGGAAAAAGCCAGTGTTTTGTTGGAGAAAAACAAAACTCTTCGATTTTTATCCTTTTATGAATGAAAATAAAGATGGCGTATATTGCTAATTTGTCTATTTTGGAACTTTTTCAGAGGTATTACTTGTAAGACTTATTCAGCCAAAGGATTGAAAAGGTGATGAGATGAGGACAAGAGCTAGCACATAGTAGCTATCAGTGGTGGGAGAATCCCTTCTCATTATCAGCACTGACAGTGAAGGACAAAGGTCCCTTTCTCTAGCTCTGGCAATCATTTGAAATAGTAGGTTAAAAACCACTTACAATGTTTGGATGTGAGAGGCGAAGAAGAACTCCTATCTCAGTTCTTACGATTTTTTTGTCCACCTAAAAGGCAAAATAAAAGAGATAAACTGAAAGAAACTCCCCCCTTCATTGTAGCAGAGAAATAGAAACAGCAATAACTACCTGGGTGAATCAGGCAATTCGCAGAGCCTAATTCCTTAGCTTTTGTGTGTCTCCTTCCTCTCTTTCTTTTTCAGCTGCACATCCTTTCTCTCTGCTTCTGACGTAACATACAGCCAGAAACTAGTATGCATCACAACTTGTCAGACTCCTAACATGGCATCTTCCCCACTTTCCTATCAAAAGTCATCACTGTCACAACTAATGCCCAAGCTCATTTCAACCTATCCTTCTTCTTTGTCTTCCTTTCTTATATGGAAGTCTGTCTAAACCCCAGTGGAGCCGTCAATCACTTCACTTGTCCTTCTCACACGGATGTAGCACAAAACCCAACCTACCCAACAAGAGTATCCTGTTCCCTGGCCATTGTGATAGGGTTAGGAATATTCACCAGACCCAAGTCATCCCAGTCAGGAGCCTCTCCAAAAATTTTGCTCAAACAATCAAGAAATAGGTATTCCATCTTTCTCTGAAATTATGAGAGCAAAAGAGGATACAGTCTGCTTCTAATAGTGAACAGTTTTGATAGCATATGGAGACCACTTTATTAAAATGAGGCCAACACAGGAAAAAATATTGCTGAGTTATGAAGAGGACTGTTAATACAATTTAAGCCCCTAGATTCAGTTATGCTGGTTTGCCTTTTGAACTTCTAATTATATGAGCCACTACATTTCCTTTTTCTGTTTAAGTTATCCAGAGTTAGTTTCTGTTGCTTGCCATGAAAGAATCCTAGTTAGTTCACCACTTGGTCTCTTTGTTTGGGACAATGGCGATTTAGTTCAGGATATTCCAAAATTAGGGATATTCTCTCTAGCCCAGTGATTGACCCCTTTAATCACAATGAGTTGGCATTTCAGAGATCTAAAAGTTATATAGTAGACATAAACGTTTTAATGTCTTCCTCTCCAACAAAATTTATCAAAACAATCGATAGATATGATACCTGCACTCTTACTATGGTTTCTGCCATTTGAGCTGTCCCGAACCTTTGAACTAGCAAGAGTTTACATGGTTTTAGAAGTGAAGAAGTTTATGTGCAATTCACAGCCAAACTCTATAGGCATATCCAAGAGACTGCTTCAAATGGGAAATGGGTTCTCCCCTTTCAGTTACTTCTCCTGAGGAAGAAAAGGTTGACCTCAGGAGAAATCCAAGCGCATATCAATGGTGATAACCAATCACAACTTTCAAGACGACAGAGAACAACATCCAGTCATTTAATTTTCATTCTTTAATGAAAACAGTAACCAAAAAGGATGCAATCTTTAAAAAGGAATGAATACTCAAAAAAATTTTTCCAACTTTATATGTTCTTTTTCTTGGTTGCAACATATAAATATATTTTACATTTATTTTATCTGGAAAATATAATTTTGCCAGACCCTAGAGTACCTCATTTAAAGAAAGCACGCACCATTTCTAAATGCCTTTAGTTTTTATGAGATGGAAAAATGTTTACAAGGAGATCTTAAGGAGTTCCCAGCCCAATGAGAGATTTCTCCAGAGTTTATTTCACCCGTATACGCAATAAAACATTAAATTGCCATAAAGTCATGGTAAACTGCAATAAAAGTTTTGGTTATTCATACAGGCAATCAAGAGGCATGGGATGTTTTAATATATTCTTGCTAAAGAAAGTCAAGCTATTAAAATCAATTTGCAATATTACAAAACAAAAATGTATTTTACTTTTGTTGTTTGGATGCCAGTCTGTGCAACCCAGCATACTTCTTAAAATATTTACAAACATCCCACATAAAAATGCAATATCAGCTATAAATTCTTAGAGGAGAGGATGAATATATGATCTGTACATTTTAATACCTGACAGTTAATATGAGGCCATTATATAACAGGGAAGACTCACTGTGAGCAGAGAAAAGCAACCTAACTCTAGTGACTGTACATCAAATTGATAGGCTCTGGAGCTTTTGCAGCAAAGGAGTAAAGGAAGACGCACATCTTGATACATCCAGTGCTAACCCAGGAACTTTGGAGGCTGTTTCAGCAGTCTTCCACGGACACTAAACCATAGCTACTCTGCATGATTCAGACCATGTATTGATCAAAGCTCTTTCAGTTTCAAGTAACAAACACGCAGCTCAAACTCACGTAATAAGTCCCAAATGGTAATTTATTGGCACATGTAACTGGGAAGTCAGAGTAGATCTATCTGCAGACATAACCAAATTGAGAGGTTGAGACTCAGATAATCTCTCTCTCCCCTGTGCACGTTTGTGTCTTTGTCTATGTCTCTCCTTTCCAAACGGCATGAAACATGGCCACAGAAGCTCCAAGTCTGTATTTCTAAGATAAGAGAGATGCTCTCTCTCAACATCTATCTAATCTCAAATAGTATTATCATTAGCCTTGCTTGATTTATGTGCCTATTCCTGGATGTAGGAGAAATATAACCATGACAAGGCCAAGAATGGGTCATAAGCGCTCTCCTTTGACCATGGTTGAGGGAGATGGGAGGCTTGGTTCCCTCAAATAGTGAATGTTGTCAGACACTGAGGACTCCGTTATTGTTTGCTTTTAGTATTTGTTCCCTTCATTTCACATTTTCCTAAGATCCTGAAGTATTACTCTCTCAGTTTCTTCCATGTCCCAGACTAATCGATCAGTAACTAATAATTATTCATTCATAAGAACTCTTGCCATCAGTTTATTTCATATTCAAAGTTTTGACCATTTACTAGTAACCCAAATGGGCCCTACCAAATAGCAATTTAGAATTTTGCCTAGAAACTCTTTTGAATCCATACTGAAAGCTGATGTAGGAGCAATCACTTAGCTGGTGAACGAACCTAGCAGGCTACCTAGTTTTGTACCTCAATTCTGCTGTTTTCTCTACTTCTGGGCAGCAACCTTGTCAATTGTTTTGATGTCATTGGTGATATAATTTGAAGGAAAGTAAAGAAGCCTAAGAAAATGATGGCTGTAGCCAATATGAATGGTTGGAATAGAAACTGGGATAAATAATTTACTGACATCTATGTGCTTTGTGAGGCAGAAGAGAATCATAACCTCCATCATATTGTCAAAACTTCTAAATCGGAGAATATTAAATAGATAAAATTTAAAAACCAAAAAATGTGTTTTATTGAACTGGAAATTTTAGAATGTCTGAGTAATTTCTTTAGTTTCTATGTAATGAATGCACAGTACACAGTAAGGATGGGTCTAAAATAGGTTTTATGCACTCAGCCCCATGTTAAATAATTGGGTCACAGGAAAAAACAAACGAAATATGGTCCTTCCTAAAGTAAGATTACAATCTAATTTGGGAGATGCAACTCATCTACATAATGTTATCAGAAGATAGTGAAAGATGGAAGAATGCAAGTTACAAATGAATTTTGTTTTAAAACTTCCATTGTTCAGTGGAAGATAGCTTTTCTGAGTCAACTGCTGCTAATATTAAAACAGTGGGCTTATTCTAAAAGACTTTTGACATTACCAGTTCTTTAAGAAATCACACTGTTGCTAATACAAAATGGAGAATGTTTTGCTAGAGTGTGCACCAGGTACATGGAAGTAGTGTAAGATATGGGTTGCTGGTAGCCAGTCAGTGGTGTCAGGCAGCTCAATCATGGGGTATAGACAGCATGGTCTAGGAGGTAATAGAATGGCAGCAAAAGACTCTAAAAGTTCTTTCGTTTAGTGAAAAAAGCATACATTTTGTAAAAATTATCAAGCAAGAGACAAACACTTATACCAAATGACAAATGAGAGATCTTTGAAAAAGAGAGGCGTTACTAGAACAGTCAAATGGCATTGTCATCTTCTATTTCAGTTTCTGCAGATGCTATTAAAACATAAGGATACACGTTGTTTTTGTTTTTGTTTTTTGAGATGGAGTCTCGCTTTGTCACCAGGCTGGAGTGCAATGGTGCAGTCTCGGCTCACTGCAACCTCTGCCTCCCAAGTTCAAGCGATTCTCCTGCCTCAGCCTCCTGAGTAGTTGGGACTACAGGTGTGCGCCACCACATCCAGCAAATTTTTGTATTTCTGGTAGAGACGGGGTTTCATCATGTTGGCCAGGATGGTCTCTGTCTCTTGACCTCGTGATCCACCCATGTCGGCCTCCCAAAGTGCTGGGATCACCATCTTCTCTTCAGGTCAACAAGGATTTCCTTGCTAATATCAAATAAATGTATTTGTCACTACTGCACAATGCTTTAAAGAAAATTTTAAGGACATAGGTGTTCCTAAATTAAGATTGTTATACTAGAATTTATTTTTCTCACTATATATTTGGGTTTTTGTAATACAGGTTTCTCCCACTCCCACACCCGCCATTTTTCAGATATTTCTGATCAATGTAAAGTGTGATAGTAGAATCCTTTAATTTTTTCACATTATATATTTATATTAAACAAATATTTTCTAACACAAATATGCATTCTGAACAAATTTACCTATTACCATGTTGTATAGGGCATATTACATATTAAAATGCTATTTCTTTTTAGCTCTTTGAGAGTTAAATGATCTAAAGTTCAATGATCTAAACTCAAAAAATACTCAGAACAGGCCAGACTGCAAAAAGTCTGGGCTAGCAAACTTCTGGTAAAATCATTTGCTTTTAATTCAGAATTAATTTTTCTATGAAAACATTTCTTAAAAAGGTAATTATTTTTCCACGATACTCCACATCATCATTTCTCAATTTAAAATATGGTCTCAGGGTGACTGCAGGTTCTTGAGGCCCTTTCAGGGTATACGTAGGGTTCTCCCTTTTCCAGCTGCATATCTGAGTAAAGTGAGACTTTTTCCACATACAGTCAGCCCTCCATATCTGTGGGTTCGGCATCTTCTATTCAACTAACCATGGATGGAAAATATTTGGGAAGTAAATCCCAACAACAATAAAAAATAACACAACAATTAAAATATTCATATAAAAATACAGTATAACAACTGTTTACATAGCATTTACATATTAGGTGTCAGAAATAACCTAGAGATTATTTAAAGAATATTAGAGCACGTTCATAAATGATGTGCAAATACTATGCCATTTTATAGTATAAGGGACTTAAACAGCTGTGAATTTTGGTATCTGCAGGGGTCTTGGAACCAATCTCCCATGGATACTGAGGAATGACCGTACTTCAAACAAAACAACAAATGGCAACAATTGAATGCAAAACTTTGTGAGAATCAAGCTGTGTTCGATTAGATCAGATAGTAAAGAGATTTGCAAAACAATGATACTCTTCTCATTAAATATTTTTTATTTTGAAAAATATAGACATTTTAATTTAATTGTTATTTATGTTAAAATATAATGGGTTTATTGTAATTTTAAAAATTAGTAAATTTAAAAATATATCAATTTTAATCTCTCATACAGCAAATATGCGTAGCTATTTTGAATTCTCAATAATTTTGTATCAGCTGGGTGTAGTGGCTCACGCCTGTAATCCCAACACTTTGGGAGGCCAAGGTGGGTGGATCACTTGGAGCCAGGAGTTTGAGACCAGCCTGGCCAACATGGTGAAACCCTGTCTTTATTAAAAATACAAAATTAGCGGGGCATGGCAACACATGCCTGTAATCCCAGCCACTCAGGAGGCTGAGGCAGAAAGATCACTTGAACCCAGGAGGTGGAGGTTGCAGTGAGCTGAGCTTGTGCCACTGCACTCCAGCCTGGGCAACAGAATGAGACCCTGTCTCAATAATAATAATAATAATTATTATTATTATATTATTATTATTTTGTGAGTAGAAAGGGCTCCTAAAGCCCAAAACTTTGAGAGTCAGTACTCCAAAAAATTTAACATTATACATTTGAAAACAGAATAAAAAGAAGAAAAAAATTCTAGTAAAAATAATTTAAATGAAAGAAAAATGTCAATATAGTCTCATTTCTGCTTCTCTGAATGCTGGGGCCCAGGATAAATAATGTGCAGGGCATAGTTTGGTGGAGGCTGAGAAGGGTGAAGCAAATAAGAATCTCCGAAGAAGGAACATGGAGAAAAGTAAGGCTAAAACACTGTCAATCCAAAGAGAGTAAACTAAGCAACAAAACCTGATTTACGAGTCTAAGTAATGATGACCAAGGAAACCAGCAGAGGGTAATTTTGAACAAAATGGAAATGGACAGCTATATAGCTAAGAAGCCAAGGATAAGACCATACTGAAGCCAGGAAATCCTTCCCAGAAGGATAAGCTGAGGGTCACCTGTTGCTTTTTGGAAAGAAGTCTGAGAGCTTCTTAAATAGCCATACTCTCAGGGGCAGTTCTCTTTAAAGGTATCATGTCTTGGAGATCACACAAGTGTGGGTCTTGATAGCCATCTCCTTTCAACCTTTCCAATATTCTTCTCATTACAGAAGTTGGTGTTTTCCTCGCACTTCTAAATTCCCTTTCCAAATTCCTGGGGAGCTCTCACATTACCACTCAGAATGAATAATATTTTCCTAGAAAATAACTGTCAAGCAAACCACAAAAGTCAATGGGCAGCTATCTGAGCAGTCATTATTGCCACTTGAAATTAGCTTCCAAGTGTGACCATAATTAACATCTTGAGAAGCATCAACAGATGGCTTTAAGAAACCAACATGACAACAACACTGAAACCCATAAGACATACCTTTAGTATCTACAAAATACCTTGAAGAATAGCAGTTTTTCCTTACTAACAATTTACAATAAATATATATTTTACTAAAATCTTAACTTGGGCTAATTAGCCCAAGTTCCCTAGAAAAAACACATGAGGCATGGATCAACATTCCGTGCTTTACTTGGGAAACCCAACACAGTGAGAGTGAGGAAAAAGGGAAATGCAGAAAGGTCGGAGACACAATGCATTCAGCACCAAACATCCTAATGAGCTATAAAGACATACAGCAGGTCATATGGGCAGCTGCATCCAATGGGCACATGGTACTTCTCCAGAGACATTGTACCAGGCTACTACTCCTTGAAGAAGTCCATAGGAAGAAGGAAGAAGGGGGAATTCACCTACCCAGTAATTTCCTTTGTTTCCCATTGCTGAAATTTGGCCCATGGGTTAACTTTTCCATTTTTCTGGGAGGTATATGGGGTCTCATTGGCAGTCATTTGTGATGGTATATTCCTCCACAGGAGATGTCCTATCTCATTTAAACCCAAAAGTAGCTATAACAGCCAGAAATTTTAGGCATATGCTTGCTTGGCCTAACCTGCATGAAATAGCTAAAGGGCATTCACTTCCCTTGGCTTAGGTAGCAAGTAGGCAGAAAAAAATATAAGGTGGCCCATCAGAGTTTTGTCCAATCACAGTGCATTCTAGAGTTTTTATCTGTTACTAGGTGCTATGATTTGAATGCATCCTCCAAAAGTTCATGTGTTGGAAACTTAATTGCCATTGTATCAGTATTAAGAGGTAGGGCCTTTAGGAGATGATTAAGTCATGAGGTATGTGCTCTCATGAGTGATTTATTGCCGTCATCCTGGGAGTGAGATAGTTATGATGGGAGTGGCTCTTGATGAAAGGATACGTTCAGTTCTGTTTCTCTCTGTGACACAAGCACTTGCTTCAGGATCCTGCCCATCTGCCATGGGATGACCCCCTTCCAGAACTATGAGTCAAATACATTTCTGTTTATTATCTAGAATGCGGTATTCTGTTTATAGCAACAGAAAATGGACTAAGACACCAGGTAAACTAAATTGACAGCAGTGGACTCATAGTCTTGCTTCTCTAATTTATGGTGTATTATTGCTCATCAGAAAGAACCTTGTCTCCATTTATTTGTCATTGCTCTTGTTACTAACATGAAGTGGATAGCCATCAAATGGATTGGGCACCTGGGGTTTTTCTGTAATGCCTTGTCCTAGCTCCTTTACTTAAACGGCCCTAAATATTCTAATGGTCTTTGATATACTTTTTGAAGCTTATACACAGAAAAAAATTTAAAATTTAATAAAAGAAATTATACAGGTTTTTATAGTTTCAAGACTCCATGACACTCAAGATTTCTTAAAACTGAAAGAAATCCCAATTTTCCTGTCTGTCCCCATGGTAGGGGAGAAAGAAGTAGATAAGAGGTATAATTCTAGAGTAACACCAGAGAAAAAGGCTCCATCACTGGAATGGGATTGATGAAACACAGATCCTTCACTAAGATATGCAGCAAATAAACACTCTTGTGCTGGGACCAAGACTGTTGATGAGGAAAAGAGAAATAATTAAAAACATATGAAGAAAAAAGCAATGATGGCTTAAAGGAAAACCAGTTTCTGCTTTGTGGTAATTACAAATGGAGAAAGGGGGTGAATAAACTGGAGAATAGAGAGGACAATAACCAGACTTCTGTTAGATTTGAACAACCTGGCTATCTTAGATGTAGCCTATATCCAGACTCTGGAAGTTCAAACACTCTTGGAAAACTGGGGTGACCTGTGCAACTAAAGACTGCTGCTCTTTTTGTTTTAATCATTCAGGCAAGTAAAGCAGCATTTCCACAGAAAATGCTCAGCCTTATCTTATTTTCCTTGCAGAGATTAAGACTATAAATCTTGTTTTGTCTCTGTATTCTGTCTTTGGCTTCTTTGACTTATTTTTGGTATGAATGATGTCCAGAGATATTATGCTAAGTACATAATTGTGCTCTTCAAATCCTTTATGGAAACAAGCACAATATAAATCATTAATGCATAAATAAATAAGCAACCAAACATCTTTATGCTTTCCCAATGATTCCCTATGCATAACTTCTGCTTAATTTAGCATCCTATTTTTTGACATTCAACAAGTATATGTTGGCACTAACATGCTTGGTGAAAAATCTTGACCACTGGAGTTTTGTTAAATTCAAGAATGACAGTTTTAGTCTACAAGAATTTGAAAGCTAAGAACTTCTGTTTGAACACCCCAAAATCAAATGCAGGACACATACAAATATCGAGGTTTTCCTACATGAGGCTGGTACCTCCAATAAGTACAGAATTTTAATCAAGTCTGATTATTTATCTTTATCCTCTTGTTCTACCAGAAACCTGGGCATCTTATGACTGTCTCACATTTTTCAGCGTTCTCAAGGAGTGACTTGTTTTTGGTCCATGAAGAAATGTACCCCAAGACCTGGAAGCAGGATAGACATCCTTCTTGCTCCTCATTGCTATGCCCAAATCATTTCTCCTCCCTTCTTCCTCCAAAATCCCAGCTCCTTTGAAATGTCTTCCATCAGCAAATGCATCCTGCAACTCTACCTCATTGTAGTCATTTTCCCACCTCCCTTTCACTATTACACATTCCTATACTGAACATTTTAGCATGTATGTCTCCATCTCAACCATTATTCTCCATAATCATTCTTAACAACTTCAACTTTCACATGGATGGTTCATTCAACATTCTTGCCTCTCAGTTCTTTTACCACTTCCTCGATTCTTCCTTAGCAACTCATTTCCATGACAACATCTCAGGCCTTCTTGTTACCATCAACTGAACCACATCACAAATCTTGATTTCAAACATTACACTCTCTGATTTCTACTACCTATCTTTAAAGCTCCTACTTGGCTTAGATTCTATGGTCCACTAGTATATACTAATAATGCCTTGGCCCTGTCCATTGTGCTGAACTCTCCTAGTATTCTTCCTCTTCTTTTACACCGGCTCACTGCTCATCTTCCAGGAAGCCAGGATAGTCTCCACTGTTGGGTCCTTTCACTTGGCACTTGATAGTACTCTGTCTCAGATGCTCTTTTCCCAGATTTTTCAGTGTGAGTTTAGGCTCAACAAAGAAGAGAATGGAAAGGATCACTGCACAGGGTGGGTGACGGTTTAGAGGTGAGGGCAGCAGCAAGCATTGGATATGGTGTGCTGGAACAAGAAGGAGACTGATATTGTAAGGAAAACCAATACTCCATATTACATTTAACACTGACTAACATGAAGCCAACCTTGTTCTGATCAGTATGGGAAGACAGGCTGTAATCATCAGATAAGCTTGTCTTTGAGCATTGTAAAACCCAATATTTTATAGCTCTGTTACTAGCCACTTCCTATTCCCTGCAGACTCTAAGACATTGGGAAGAACAAAAAGAAAAAAGAAGGGATTTCCAATAGAGGAGGAAGCCCAGGATTGAAATAAGAGTCTAGGCAAAACAAGAGTGCCTCTGGGAAGCTTAACCCAGAAAGACACTTCTATTTCAGAACTTGAAGCCTTTGTAAGACACGTAGATTCAGAACAGAGCAGCATCTCCAAAGGGAGTTACCTCTCTCCCTTCATTCTTAGATTCTAAATACAAACCTATGTGCTTGCAGATACCAGAAATTCTTTTCACAGGAAACAGTCTTTTTATTTTGCAATGAATGAAATAGGCTTAAAATATTCCTGGGAGATATAACAAGCTAAACAAAGTTAATACAAAGAATTTGGCTGATGCCCGACTCTCAACAGAAAGAGGTTGGGCTTAGCAGAGGCAGGGAGAAGAGGAAAAGAACCTGATAGATAGAGCAGAAGAAGAATCTTCATGTCTTTACCCAGCACTTTTTTCTCTTGCTTCTTTTATCTGTATCTCCCTGGGATCTAGAACACACGAGCATGATCCTGATTAATAACTCTCATCTTTAAAAAGGTCTCTCAGTCCCTTACCATCCCCTCCCACTTCCAAAGCATATCTCTGCTTCCCTTCACAGAAAACCTCTCTATTGTTGCCTCTGCACTCTTTCTTCACTTCTTCACCTGGGAGTAGAGGAAATAAAATGGATTATTTCATGTCACCATTCTGGTCTGATTTCTCTCCTACTTTAAAGGCAACAGCAATGTTATAATATTTCCTAACTTGCCTCACTGCTTTGATCCTTACCCTTTATATTCAGTCCTTCTACACACAACATCCAGAATGATATCTTTAAAATGTAAATCAGATCATGTTACTCTCAGCTTAAATGCCTTTGTTGGAGTCCCACTGTGCTTAGAGTAAGTATAAACTCTTTGCCATAGACCTTAAAACAGGATGGCTTGGCCTCACCCTATTGGTCTGATGTCACTGTCCTTCATATGCAGGCCATTCAACTAGACCAAGCTTCAAGGCCTTTGCATTTGCTGTTCCCTCTTCCATCAGGCCTCTTTTTTCACTTGGTTCATTGAGAGTCACCTAGAGGCCTTTCCTGGCCACTCCATCAAAAGTAGTTACACACTAACACACATACAACATACACACATACACACACGGTGAGTCATACCATTCAATTTTTTATAACAGTCACAAAAAGCTATGTTATCATTTAGTTACTAATTCATCATCTATTTCTTCCATCGGAGCATGAGTTCTATGACAGAAAGGATCTTGTCTGTTTTCTACATATGCTATCTTTGGCGTTATTTACCAATACCTGGCATTTAATAACTTGTTAAATGAATGAATGAGGTATGGAGGCTGGTGATTGAATACAAAATGCTGGCAGCTCAAAGAAAAAAAATTCTGGTTTAACATTAAGCTTCAGTTAGATGAGATTAGAATTGGTTGGTCAGTTCTCATCCTGCCACTTAAGTCTACATGACATTTTTTCATGTTATTGACACCAGTGGAGTGGAGAATGTCTGTTTCAAAGAGCCTCTAGATTCTCTTTCAAGGTAAGTGAAGAACACTTGGAAAAATATAAATTATTAATGCACAGGTGAAGTTACTGACCTTCTAAATCCACTGCAGCAAGTACTGATACTCCTGCTCACTCTTCTCCCCCATTTCAGGCTATAGAGCTTTTATAGCTGCCAGATAGAAATCCCGTACTTTTCCTTCCAACAGCACACCTTGCGTTTAATTTGAGTGTTCCATCATTTGTATCAAACACAACCAGAGTGATTAAAAGAGAATGAAATGATAGAGATTAGAAAATGATAATGGTGAGAATTGGAATGTACTATCCATTCTCAAAGAAGCAACTATGATATCCTTGGTAAGCAGAAAAGAATTCTATGGATGTAGCTGTGGATATTTTGACTTGCCTCTGTGCCCTCCATGGGCACAGAGCCTGGCTGGGTCTTTACTCCTCATATTTCCCAAGAAGGTGCCAGCATCAGCATGGTCTTATGAAAAAGAAACTGATTAACAAAGAGAGAATTAATGTTAAGCCTCCCAAATTATTTTTTAAGATTCATGTTGTCAGGGATAGAAGGAAATCAACACATATTATATATTTTTCTAGAAGTATCATAGTCACATTTAAAAATATAGAAAATATAAAAAGAGTGAGGAATATATCCACCATTGTAACACAACTAATCATTAGCATTTTGGTTTATTTGTTTTCAGATATGTATGTATACTTCTTTTTACATTTTCAAATATAAAAATATTTGAAATTTTGTTATCTTTTACACAAAAACATAATAAAAATTTTATGAATATCTAATATCCATAAGCAGAATGTAAAACACCTTCCTAAGGCCCAATGTCATCAATGCCTAGCCCTAATGTTAGACATGAATGATTCCTTAAGATTTATTACTAATATATTCTATAATCAGCATCCTTGTCTGTACATTTTTTAAAGAATTCAATTTGAATCCTGGCTTGATCATTTAGAGTCTTTAATCAAGTCCCTTAATCTATATGAGGACTGCTTCAATTTCATCATGTGTAAAATGGGGATAATTGTTATTCTGGAATATTATTGTTTTAAGGATTGAATAAGAGTATGTGTGAAATTTCCTAGTCCCTGTGAAACGTTCACTAAATGTCAGTGCCTTTCCTAGAATGACTTTTCAAATCAAAGTGAGCATTTCTAATCTTCTGTTTCCAATTTTTTAATTCTTAACAGAGAAGGCACTACAATTGCAGCATACTAAATTTAGAAATATAGGGATTTATGAAAATGTTCCACCCCAGTCAGAGAAAGTATCTACTAAACATGAAACACAATTTTATTTTTATTGTTATTCTAAAAAATTTTCTAAAAGTGAATGACAACTTCATCAGAATCCTAAACTGTATCCTAATATAATCTTCCTGCCTGAGGTTAATCAAAAAGAAAACTAATGCCTATTTTCACTTAAATAAATGCCTTCTCTCACCTTTTCTGAAGACTAAGAGCTGCACTGTCCTGTTTAAACTTTAGGGAGGTTTTAAGACAATTTCATATGTTTACTAATCACTGTCAACCACCAGGGTCACATCTAAGTTGACCATAAACCTGGGTATCAACCATGTCCTTTATATATTCAAGTCTGACAGAGGTGTAATATACTCCGTCCTTTCTTCTTAGTGCCTTTTAGTAATTTTTATATGGTAAAGACAGTAATTTTGGTAATTTTTATGACCATTTCATATGACCAAGATTTTTAAATTATCAAGAAGCCATGAAAATAATGAAATATAGGTTTTCATTGTATATTATTTCAATCAAACAACAATGATTTATGTGCACAATTCCCAAACTTTAATTTGAGTGATTAAAGGGGCACAATATTATATACACTCAGAGACCCTGAGATATTCCTTTGATCTTTTCCTTGATCCTTAAAACTAAGTGATTTTCTATTAGTTACAAAGCCAAAAAAGCTTATGATTTTGTATACTGTTAAATAATAAAAATAAAAATAATACTCCTGAAAGTATTAACATTTTAAGCTTCATCAATTACATCTTAGGGTTCAATGGAAAAAATAAAAACCTGGATGCTCTTAGAAGAAAGCTTAGCTCACTGCCTATTCTTTCAAGGACAATTCAGACCTTTTTCAAAGAACCTGGCTAATGTTGTTCATGAATGCTAAAAACTTGGTGGAAAGAGAGGCTCTCACATGGTTCTTCTAGAGTTATTCATGACCAGAAAAGTACAGAAGAAATTAATGTTGAACCAAAAAATAATATAATCATACTCTTGGTTTAGAATGGGAAAGACAGAGATTCTAGAGATCTTAATGATTTGAGGTTTGATAAAAAAAATTTCTTTGTCAGTGTTGCCCCATAGCAATATATTCTTTCTAGATGTAGAAGTCTAGATTTTCTGAGGTAGCATTTTAACATGAATTGAACCCAGAGCTTCACTTTTCTCTGAAAGACCAGATAAACAAAAGTGTGTCAGCTCAGTCCTTCCCAGCATCTTTCTCCATACAGTGGTGTGCACATCCTCAAAGCACTCTCTCATCAGCATGTCTGTTAAGTCTCTTCTTCTGAGTAAAACTGCTCACAGTTTAAAAGCTTGTAAGAGTTAATTGGGTAGTATGCACACATTCCATGTTTATGCCCTATTATTTCTCCATCTCTGATATTTTCCAAGACTGTCCGGTTTCAAAGGATATGGTGGCCAAGGGGCTTGTGACCCCTGGACTGGTTTGGTCTCTGAGTGTGTGTTCAGTATTTATTGGCCTCTCCCATAGAGCCAGTGAGCACATGATCTGTCCCTAGTCATCTGTAGCTGTAGATTTCCTGACCTATCCAGGTCTCTACTGCAGACAGCATCTGGCAGTGGCCCTGGTATGTGGCCTCTTCATGCTCACCACGCTTCCCTGGGTTATCTAAGCCAGAGGCCAGTGGGAAATAACAGGGTAAGGAAAACATTGCTCTGAGAGACAGATGAACTCAATCTTCACCCTAAAGAAATACTTTTAAACTAAAAGAGACTCTTAAACAGGAATAAACTAAGATATCTTTGACTGGAAATTTTTAGTATGTTTTCCTCCCAGGTATCCAGTGATAGCAAGAGGAATTCAGGTTCAGAGTAAATGCTGTTGTAGAAAATAGAGGATACTGATACATTTTTTTGCAGATGTAAGTGTGGTGGGTAAATTTTGATTTGACACTCACCCACATTCCCCTCCATAAAAATACATCAAAATTTAAAAGATGAGGATGATAATCTTGGATCTGCTTTGATTTATCAATAAAAGGTATCATATACAGTTTATAGTACTTTATTATATATGCCACTCCTTGAAACTGATCAGGACACTCCATATGTCCTGATGGTAAAAACAGTTCTAGATTGTTCTGATCCTAAAATCTCAAAGAAAAATGCTGGGAGTGAAGATTAAAACTGGACTCCTTCCTTACACCATATACAAAAATAAACTCAAGATGGATTAAAGCCTTAAATGTAAAACCCAAAACTATAAAAACTCTGGAAGACAACCTAGGCAATACCATTCTGGACATAGGAATTGGCAAGGAATTCATGATGAAGATGCCAAAAGCAACTGCAACAAAAGCAAAAAATTGACAAATGTATCTAATAAAACTAAAGAGCAGAAGCTCTTTGCTGTGCTTCTGCACAGCAAAAGAAACTCTCAACAGAGTAAACAGACAACCTATAGAATGGAAGAAAATTTTTGCAAAGTACGCATCTGGCAAAGGTCTAATATCCTGAACTTAAAAACGTAATCAAATTTATAAGAAAAAAACAAAAAAACCCATTAAAAAGTGGGCAAAGGACATGAACAGACACTTTTCAAAAGAAGACATACCTGTGGCCAACAAGCATATGAATAAAAGCTTAACATCACTGATTATCAGAGAAACGAAAATCAAAACCACAATCAAATACCATCTCACACCAGTCACAATGGTTACTATTAGTCAAAAAAATCACAGATGCTGGTAAGGTTGTGGAGGAAAGGGAACACTCATACACTGTTGGTGGGAGTGTAAATTGGTTCAACCATTGTAGAAAGGAACTCTTCAAAAAGCTGAAAACAGAACTACCATTCAACTCAGCAATCCCATTACTGGGTATATGTCCAAAGGAATATAAATCATTCTGTTATAAAGATACATGCACACATATGTTCACTGCAGCACTGTTCACACTAGCTAATACATAGAATTAACCTAAATGTCCATCAATGGTAAACTGAATAAAGAAAATGTGGTACATATATACATAGAATACTATGCAGCCATAAAAAAGAATGAGATAATGTCCTTTGCAGGAACATGGATGGAGCTGAAGGCTGTTATCCCTAGGCCATTATCCAAACTAACACAGTAACAGAAAACTAAATACCGCATGTTCTCACTTATAAGTGGGAGCTAAATGATGGGAACATATGGACACAAACAACACATATTGCCACTGGGGCCTACCTGGAGGTGAAGGGTGGGAGGAGAGAGAGGAGCAGAAAAAATAACTATTGAGTACTAGGCTTAGTACCTGGGTGATGAAATAATCTGTACAACAAATCCCCATGACACGAGTTTACCTACATAACAAACCTGCATATGTATCCCCTGAACCTAAAATAAAAGTTAAAAAAAAAAAAAGAAAAATCCTGCCAGTGACAGATTGGTAGGTTGTGTCGGGGAAAAACATCCATCTAATGTGTTCTTTTAGATATAACTATCCATCTGATACTCTTCAACTTTGGGGTAGAGATAAGTATAGGTAACTTTAACTGAATTTATCCTGTGACATATTCTCACAGTAGGAAGGAAATTGGAATCTGACCCATATAGCCACACCTGTGTTCATACTGCATCCCACCTACCACTAAGACAAAGAGTTAAGAATCACATCAAGCCATGTGTGTAGTCTGTATATCTCACAGTTCCCAGTTGTTTTTCCTTCATTTGCCAGTGGATATTGTATGTGAGACTCACTAAACTCAGGTTTTAACAGAATTTGGCAAAGATAACATGTTGCTTGCATTCTCTGCACACATCGAATATTATTTGCCCATTCTTCACAGTGTAACTTACAAGCAGCACTCCGCTTCTCTGTGCCTGTGTCAATAAAGGCTTAATCATCCTTTATCAGGTAAATAAGGAGAAACATCTAGTTTTAGTCCCAAATCTGGACCAAAATCATTCCTGATTGAATTCTTTTTTGCCTTTGTCTCTATCAGGGCCTTCATGGCATCTATAAAAAATGCCCAGATTTGGAATTCAAAAGCCCTGAGTTCTAGAATACATGCTATTGTGTATTTTGAACATGACACTTCTCTAAGACTCTCATAAGAAAAATACTTCCTTGGGGAGCTTTGTGTTAACATGTGAAAGCGGCACTACATTACATAGTGTTTAACAATTCAGTGTGGGTTCCATTCTTATTAGCATTATGCTCCTTTACCGTTAAAGTGAGTGACATGACATATGGTGAGTTGTGAGTACTTAATTTTAAAAAACGTTGAAAACTAATTCAGTACTGAAAACTATATGGATCTCTTTTAATTAGTATCCTCTGTACATAGTTCATTTCCCCTCTTCTAGAAAATAAATGGTTTTGGAGTTCCATGACTTGATCTTTTTAGCTTTCTTTTCGTCCTGTTTACAGTGACTGGATATATGCAACTCTGGCCACCATTCAACTTTTTGTACCATAAAAAAATACAAATTAAAATTTATTAACACATTTTTCCCTGTTAACTCTAAGATGATAGCTTTCCCCTTCTCACTAAGGTATGAATCCTAAGTCTGCTTTGAGGCTGATAGCCTGTGTCCTTCTGGCTCTCTCAGCTCTCCTGGTTGTGGTCCATTGGACAGCACTCTCCAGCTTTGATCTCCTGACCCTGAGCTTCTCTCAACTTTCCTAGTGCCCCAGCAGCTCCCCTTTGGTAACAAGGCATTTACCACTGAGCTCTCTGAGAAGTTCTTAAACTCCTGCTTCTACCAGAGTGAAGTAACATAAGCTCTCCTTCTGAGGTTTCCTCTGTTTTTAGTTGGTTATATATCTCCTTTTTCTGCTCCATAGATTCCATTTAAAGAGTGAAAATCACTTTAGTTCCAATTGCCCAATGCTTATAAAAGTACTAAGGGGTTAAATGTCATAATTTGAGTGGATGGCATACCAGCAAAGTAAATTCATCTTTTGGGCAACAGCACTCAGGCCTGTTGGTGCTCTAGCTCATGGTCTGTCTGTCTGTCTGTCTCTCTCTCTCTGTCTTTCTGTCTCTCTCATCAGCCTGCTTTTGAATTATAGTGTTTGTTTTCTAAAAGGCAACAAAATATCTAAACGAGATTGATATAATGAGAAGATGAACAAGAATGCCTCAGAAATAACGCCGCATATCTACAACTATCTGATCTTTGACAAACCTGACAAAAACAAGAAATGGGGAAAGGATTCCCTATTTAATAAATGGTGCTGGCAAAACTGGCTAGCCATATGTAGAAAGCTGAAACTGGATCCCTTCCTTACACCTTATACAAAAATTAATTCAAGATGGATAAAAGACTTACATGTTAGACCTAAAACCATAAAAACCCTAGAAGAAAACCTAGGCAATACCATTCAGGACACAGGCATGGGCAAGGACTTCATGTCTAAAACACCAAAAGCAATGGTAACAAAAGCCAAAATTGACAAATGGGATCTAATTAAACTAAAGAGCTTCTGCACAGCAAAAGAAACTACCATCAAAGTGAACAGGCAACCTACAAAATGGGAGAAAATTTCCGCAACCTACTCATCTGACAAAGGGCTAATATCCAGAATCTACAATGAACTCAAACAAATTTACAAGAAAAAAACAAACAACCCCATCAAAAAGTGGGCGAAGGATATGAACAGACACTTCTCAAAAGAAGACATTTATGCAGCCAAAAGACACATGAAAAAATGCTCATCATCACTGGCCATCAGAGAAATGCAAATCAAAACCACAATGGGATACCATCTCACACCAGTTAGAATGGCAATCATTAAAAAGTCAGGAAACAACAGGTGCTGGAGAGGATGTGGAGAAATAGGAACACTTTTACACTGTTGGTGGGACTGTAAACTAGTTCAACCATTGTGGAAGTCAGTGTGGTGATTCCTCAGGGATCTAGAACTAGAAATACCATTTGACCCAGCCATCCCATTACTGGGTATATACCCAAAGGCCTATAAATCATGCTGCTATAAAGACACATGCACACGTATGTTTATTGCGGCATTATTCACAATAGCAAAGACTTGGAACCAACCCAAATGTCCAACAATGATAGACTGGATTAAGAAAATGTGGCACATATACACCATGGAATACTATGCAGCCATAAAAAATGATGAGTTCATGTCCTTTGTAGGGACATGGATGAAATTGGAAATCATCATTCTCGGTAAACTATCGCAAGGACAAAAAACCAAACACCACATGTTCTCACTCATAGATGGGAATTGAACAATGAGAGCACATGGACACAGGAAGGGGAACATCACACTCTGGGGACTGTTGTGGGGTGTGGGGAGGGGGGAGGGATAGCATTAGGAGATATACCTAATGCTAAATGACGAGTTAATGGGTGCAGCACACCAGCATGGCACATGTATACATATGTAACTAACCTGCACATTGTGCACATGTACCCTAAAACTTAAAGTATAATAAAATAAATAAATAAATAAATAAATAAAAAGAATGCAGAATTGTAATAAATTCCACCAATGTTTATGTCAATAAAGAAAATGCATCAAATCATAACAATGCTCTGGAAGAATGTTCTGACTTTCAAGTATATTCTTGAATGGTAAAGCATACAAATCAGGCCAAGATTTAACATTCCTCCCTGTCACCTTTGCTCTCTTATATACATATTCTTGTCACAAACTGGATAGAAATATTCCTGTTCCTATTCCAGGAGACCTGGTTTGATAGTCCCTATGAAAATCAATAGGTTCCAACTGACAGAATCCTTGAAGAAGTTTCACTTCACTTGACACGGCTCATTGTCTGAAAGCTACTTTCCTTAATGTGTTCTGAGATCTCAATTGGCCCCAAAAAGTCTATTTGAGCTGGTGATTTATTATTCTCTTATCCATCACTGACCAAGGTGACCCTGCCTGTACTTCCAGAGCACATCAGTAAGAAGTTAAAAGTGGCCAATAGCAGCATACAATAGATGCATATCTTTCATCCAGATTGAACCATCCATCCCTCTTATGTACATCATAGCAATTAGAAAATGCATGGCTCATTGTCAGTTTTCCATGTTTCCAAAGTTTAGGCAGAAAAAGACAGAGCAGGGAATCTCCATTCTGCATCCTGAGTCTGCCTGGTTGAGGGCACAGTGGCAAAGTGTAGAGGATCTCCCTGGAGAGGTTGGTGGTTCCTACTCACTAAGGTGTGAGAGGCTACATAAGCTTCCTCCTCTTGGCCCAAAGGAGTCTTATTTATTTTGTAATTTTTATTTACTTATTTATTTTTGAGACAGAGTCTCGCTCTGTTGCCCAGGCTGGAGTTCTCAGCTCACTGCAACCTCCATCTCCCGGGTTCAAGTGATTCTCCTGCCTCAGCCTCCCAAGTAGCTATTTTTCAGCTTTATAGTGGTAAAACTGAGAAATAAAAATTACACACATTTAGTGTACAATGTGACGTTCTGATGTACGCATTGCAAAATGATTGCCACAATCAAGCTAATTAACAAATCCATCACCTCACGTAGTTTTTTTTTTTTTGTGGTGAGAATATTTAACATTTACTCCTAGAAAATTTCAAGTATACCAACACAGTGTTATTAATTATACTTCCCATACTATACATTTGATCTTTGGAAATTATTCATTTTACACAACTGAAAGTTTGTACCCTTTGACCTACATACCTCCATTTCCTCCTGCACTCAATCCCTGATAATCATCCTTCTACTCTCTCTGAGTTCAACTTTTTAAATTACACATGTAATTTGTAATTTGACTTTGTGTCCAGTATTTGACTTTGTGTCCAGCATATTTCACTTAGCATAGTGTCCTCCAAGATCATTCATGTTGTCGCAATTGGCAGGATTATTTTTTCCTTCTTAAGGTTATCCATACCACATTTTCTCATTCATCTTTTGACAGACAGAAGCTGTTTCCTCATCTTAGCTGTTGTGAATAACGCTATAATGAAATAGCAGTACAACTACCTCTTTAATATATTGACCTTATTTCCTTTGGATTCACTGGAATTTTGATAGGGATTGCACAGAATCTGTAGATCACTTTGGGTAGTACTGACACTTTGGCAATATTAATTCTTTCACTCCATGAACTAACCTTTCCATTTATTTGTGTGCTTTCAGTTTCTTTCATCAATGTTTTACAGTTTTCAGAGTACAGATCTTTCACCTCCTTAAATTTATTCCTAAGCATTTTAAGTTTTTGATGCTGTCATAAAAGAGATTGTTTTCTTAATTTCTTTTTCAGATAGTTTGTTGTTAGTGTATAGAAATGTAACTTATTTTTGTACCTCATTTATATATTCTGAAACTTTACTGAAATGATTTATCAGTTCTTATGTAGTTCTTTTGTGGAGTCTTTAGAGTTTTCTATATTTAAAATCATATAATCTACAGAGACAATTTTACTTCTACCAAGAATTCTCATTTAAATGCTGCTCAAACTATTTACAGGTATTTTTTCCTACTGTTATTTTTCCTCCTTTATTCGTTGACACATCTAGCTACTTTCCTTGGAGGATGATAATAACATCCATATAGCAAGGACCTCAAGCAGTCACATATTAATATATGTAGTTTTCACTTGGTGAGACAGAAAAAAAAAAGTGAAATCAGACAAATCCATTTCCAGAACCTCGCTCTGTATTTACTATCTCGGTGGTTGTGGGTAGCTAGCCTCTCTGAGCCTCAGAAACCAAGACTGACCTTACAAAGACCATGTGAGGAAACATGAGATTATTTATTTTTGCATGCAACACATTTTTATTGCAATAGTGTATGTAAAGTTCCTGGCACACAGTGATTGCTCAATATATTGTAGTTATTACCATTTCAGATTCTGTATTTAGGTACCTGGCTTTCTATAAACCATATACTCTGTGCATTACCTCCAACCGCACCTACCCTTATCACTGAGAAACTGTTTCCTATAGCAGGTGATGCAAAATGAGGAATGGGGAACAATTTCATAAAGTCTGTGTCAATTTTGCACTCCCATCCATAGAATGTGAGGGAATCCTTTTCCCAAATCCTGGGCAAAGCTAGATATTTTTATTCTTTGTTTAGTTAGTAGTGGTATGGTTTGTCTGTGTTCCCCAAAGTTCATGTATTGGAAATTTGATCCTCAATGCTGTGGTGTTGAAAGGTGGGGCCTAAAGGGAGGTGTTTGGATGATGGTGCACCATTCCCATGAATGGATTAATGCTCTTATTGCAAGAGTAGTTCCCTTATAAAAGCATGAGTTTGGTACCCTCTTTCTTTCTCTCTCTTTCCCCCTCTCCCCTTCCCTCCCTCCCTCTCCCTCTCTCTCTCTCTCTCTCTCTCTCTGCTATTCTGCCATGAGTTGACACAGGAAGAAGCCCCTCACCACATGCTGGCCCCTTGATTTTGGACTTCTCAGCCTCCTCCAGAACTGAACCAGTAAATTTGTGCTCATTATAAATGATTCAGTCTGTGATGTTATGTTATAGCAGCACAAAACAAACTAACATAGTAGTAAAAAGTATTGTCTTATTAATTTAAGGTTATTTTTATTGTTAATGGCTATAAAATATCATTTTAATGTTTTCTAAGAAGTATCTTTCCAAATATTTTGCCATTTGTGAACAGCATGAGTTTGAACAAGATATTGACCCTTAGTTTTCTCACCTTGAAATTGAGAATCCACCAGTCTCTGACACATTATAAACATTCAATAAATAATAGCTATTTTCATTTTTTATTTGGGCTTTGGTGCTTTTCTTAATTGATTTCTACATACTTTTATATCATTAAGGCTATCAACACTTGGCAAGTTGGTGATTGCTATGGACTAAGTATTTGTGTCCCCTGAAAATTCACATTGAAGCCTAAATCCCCAATGATAGCATTTGGAGATGGGCCTTGGGGAGATAATTAGATAATGAGGGTAGAGCCCTCATGATAGGATTAGCACGCTTATATGAAGAGACAAAAGAGAGTTTACTTCCTCTCTACTCTTTTGAATTTGAACTCACAGTGAGAAGATAGTCTTCTGTAAGCCAAAAAGAGTGCCCTCATCAAACACCAAATCTGCTGTCACCTTGACCTTGGACTTCTCAGCCTCCAGAACTGTGAAAAATAAATTTCTATCGTATAAGCCACCAAGTTCGTGTTATTCAATCTCTTGGAGACGCATCTATAAAATAATGATAGCACCTACCTCACAAAGTATGACATATTATTTTTATGAGTACCATTTTAAAATCATGAAGTGACTTAAAATTCCAAGTTGTGGCCAGGAGTGGTGGCTCACGCCTATAATCCCAGCACTTTGGGAGGCCGAGGCAGGTGGATCACCTGAGGTCAGGAGTTCGAGACCAGTCTGGCCAATACGGTGAAACCCCATCTCTACTAAAAAAAAAAATACAAAAATTAGCCGGGTGTGGTGGCATGCACCTGTAATCTCAGCTACTAAGGAGGCTGAGGCAGGAGAATCGCTTGAACCTGGGAGGCAGAGGTTGCAGTGAGCCAAGATGGCGCCATCACACTCCAGCATGTACAACAAAAGCGAAACTCTGTCTCAAAAAAAAAAAAAGAAAAAGAAAAAGAAAATTCCAAGTTGCCAGTTTCCTTGTAAAGAGATATGCACACATGTGTACCTGTGTGTAAAAAGACTGGTGGATGTGGGAGCTAATGTCTGTCAATTGGCCAGTGCTCATCACTTGGCCAGTTAATACAGTACATCTAGATTCAAACATAGTTCTCTATACAAATGTAGTATATTCTTCCTAAAGAAATCTTCTGGGGAAGTTGACATGAGATGTAAAAGTTACAAAGAAAAAGAAGGCTAGAACAGAGAACAGAGCCCACATTTGAAGAATGCCTAATATATGCCAGGCAATATACATGCACATATATAAAAATATATAAAACTTCAAGTAATCCTCAGTTTACCCAGTGGTATAAATGGTGTTATCCCCATTTTAAAACTGAGAAATCTGAAAATCTCTAATGGAGACATCCTGGAGATTCATCTACCAAGAAATTGGAACAAAGCCTATGTAGTCTGTAACTTAATCTTCAGATTGCCCTGCAACATCATAGTTATATACTCAAATGCTAACTCATAAGAATGTAAGGACAAATAAATGGAAGTTAAAAACCAACTCACAGAATGATTAACAAATCACAATGTGTGCTTCTTTGATTAACTGAGAAGAGAATAAAAAAATCAAACCAACATTTATGGAAAATTTTGTAGAATTTTGAGACATTTGCTAGGTGAATGTTCATTAAATTACTCAAGCAAAACCTTTCCAGAACTTTACTGGTATTATAATAACTAAAATATACAAAAATTAGACCTGGAACCGTTTTTCTATTGTAGATCTAGGCACACTGCTCCAAAGTAAGAATCACACAGAAAAGAGCTTAGGGTTGAAAGTGTTCTAAATCTAGGTATTATAGGCATCCGAGATGTACCTAAGTAGAAGGTCACAGGATGGGAAATCCTTATTGTGTGCCACATTACATTTTATTGATAGCAATAAGAGAATATGTATCCATTTTCAGCAGTAATTTCAAAAGTACTCCAAAACCAATGTAGTTAATTTTGTTCATAGAGAAGTATGTAAAAATCGTCTGTGCTACTCACTGTTTGACTTTAAATCAAGCTAATGAGAACATTAAAATTATATAGAATGAACTGGTACTCTTATGAAATATCTGTGTGAACACATTGCAATTAATAAGAATAATGTTCATCATGTATATTACATGCTTCCTATGTGGTGGGAAATATTTATTTTAATCTTTAGTAGAACACTCTGACCTAGATACTCTTAAACCCATTTTAAAGATGAAAAAACAGATTGAGAGATATTCTATAACTTCTAAAGTCACACAATCAGTAAGTAGCAGAAGTAATCCTAAACTCAGTCTGTCTGGCACCACAGACCACAACATCACCCCACTACTACATAGCAATTTTTAAGGAGAGTCAGAATACCTAGAAATTATGATTTTACACACGGAGATTAGATCTCAGACTCAATACTAGGTATTTCATGAGAGGCATGTATTTTATAGTTAGATTAATACAAGCTTTTCCAAGAGTTGAGCTACATAGTTAGAAATTTCATCTGAATTCTGAAGTTCAAATATCTGTTTCCAAAATTCTAGAGATACTATAAATTATTGGTGGAGCATAATTTTCTTAAATCTCAATCAGTTCTCCTTGAAAATAAGTCACATTTATAGTCTGACATGTCATTTAGATACACTCTGAGGTATATACTCCTAAGGAAGAAAGATAAACTATAATTCATGTGAATTACTCCTGAAATAGAGACTCCATCATCATAATGATGTCATTCTTCAAAAGCTGGCATTCTATTTAACTCAGCAGAGTTCAGTCCAGTTTGAAGTTTCCAACTGCTTAATTTGTTCAAATTTTGACACTTTCTCGAATTTATTTTTTTCCTTTGATATAGTTTTAAGTTCATCATTTAACAACAATAAAAAGGTTACATCTTATAAAACACTGGTTGTCCCCACTAGCCATGTCTGTCAAAATCCCTTAAAGACCCAAAGTAACTTAATAAAATCTTTCTACTCTACTTCAAATATCACATACAGTGGATATACTGAAGGGCTTATGCATGAAAGAAAAAAGTTAGCCTTGTTTCCTTCACCCTTGATTCATGCTTTACAAACTACAAAGTTAAATTTCCACCGATAATCACAAGCAAATTAGACAATATATACAAGATAATGTAGCATGCATGGGGAACAAAAATGGCACTTAGGCCATCCCCACACAAGAGGAGAGGATGAATGTCATGTCTAGGGAATTGATGACTTCTTCAGTACAAGAATCACTAATACTAAGTGGAAAAAAAGGAAACAAACAACCCAAAAGGCACTTCAATCCATTTTCCTCTCTTGTTTACAGTTAACACCATGAAAGCTTTATCCTCATTAATGGCACAATGAGACAAATGGATATTGTTACAGGAAATATCCAGGGTTTTTTCAATACAATAAAAAGTGGTTCAGTTATCATTTTCTATTTTCTGGCACTTCAATACATTTATAACAGTGAGTCACTGATGTTTGTCATAACATTTAGAGAGTGCAAGATCTTGAAATGCTTTCTGAATAGCCAGAAGAAATGCTCAATTATGCGAACAGGGTCTCAATGTTGAATTATGTTTCTCCACAGACTTCTCATTATGAGAAAGCTCACGTATCTGAAATGTTGAAATACCAGAATGAATAATAATATACTACAATAATTGTTTAGTTTTGCCATATTTGATTTTCCTCTCTCCCCCAACCTGTGCATACACAAACCATTTTTTTTGTTGTTGTTTAACCATTTGAAAGTAAATTGCAGACTTTATGATGCTGGCTGATATGTAATTTAATGCATTCCAATTCTTTGAAATATAGGTCTCTATATATTAAATACATGATGTTATACCCATTTATAAAATATATATTAACTTAAAACATGTCTCATGTTATAATTACCTGTTAATTTATCACAAGGATATTTTACTATCCATAGTATCCAGTTATCTAAACATGACAATTCACTGTATGTTAATTATCAGTGTTGACTCTGTCCTGCACCTGACCACCATAAGATTTCTCCACAAGAGCTGGTGCTTTAACCTGTATTCCTATGGATAAGTCAGCGCATTCATCTACTAAAACCCAGATATTTGAGTACTTAATGGAATCTCATTGAAGCTCAGGGTTTTTTATGGAAAAATATGTCTCATTGCTAGTGTAAACTAAATTCTTCCTAATTATTTTATTAAGCTATGAGAGAAGACCTTCATATTGCCGCAAAATGGAATTTGGGTAAACTCCCATGGAAAAATGTTTAAACAGATCCTGACAAAGAAGATTCATGTTATCAAAAATTTAGCTGTAAAAGAGAATTTTAAAAGTCTCTCACTTTAAGTCTGAGACAGTCTGAGGAAATCTTTCTCGGACTTAAAAATATTTATACATTAAATTATTTATAAATTAGATGGGTTTCCTTATTAACTTTCTTAAATGTGATATGTTTCACTCATCTTCAAATAAAATATTGAATGGAATATTTTGAAATTCATCTTAGAGGTCCTCCCTTACAGACAGAGTAGAATTAAATCTCCCTCAAAACAGACATTATCCTAACTCCCAGTACCTTAGAATGTGACCTTATTTGGAAATTGTGTTGTTGCAGATACAATTAGTTTAATTAAGATTAGGTCATACTGGAGTAGGGTGGGTCCCTAATCCAAGAGGACTGGTGTTTTTATAAGAAGAGAGAAATCTGGACAGGGATGTGCACAGAGGTAAGATGATATAAAGACACACAGGGAGAAGATGGCCATGTGACATTGTGAGAGGGAGCAGAGACCCCACTTAGGGGACTGCCAGTCTCCCCTGGCCCCCTAGCATGGAGATAAAAGAAAAATTTTGAGTTCCTTCTAGGGAGATTTCAGGCATCTAGCTAGCCCTGCCACAAGCAATTTGAAAAGTAAATATAAATAATCCACTAATTAAAAAGGTAATAATAGCTTAAACGATTGTCATTCAAGTAAGTTAGAGTCACAAGATGTTTGGTTCCTTATAGAAATTAAAGATAGCATCTCATATCCTTGAGCTGTTATTCAGAAACCTTGACCCTCACCAGATGAAAAATGCCAACCACTGTCATGTAGACCTCAGATAAGGAGGAACTAAGAAGTGAATGCTGACTACTGTCCTTATTCTAAATTTCTTCCTTGAAAGCCTGTAGAGTCATGCCCAAAGGCTAGATCTTAACATTCCTTTCTTCTGACCCCAAGTTTTTAGACAAAACATTGCTTCCTTAACCAACTGTAAATCAAAGAATCTTAGAACCCACCTGTTTGTAAGCCTCTACTTTAAGATACTCCCACCTTTTGGGGCCAAACCAATGCATAACCTCCATATATTGATTTATGATTTTGCCTGTTACTTCTGCTTTCCTGAAATGTACCCTTACCTTTCATAGTGTACCCGTGCTCATAAGCCATCGGGGAGTTTGGGTCTTAAGCGTGAGTTGCCTGATTCTCCTTGTTTGTCACCCTGCAATAAACGCCTCACTTTCTCTCACTACAAGTCCTGGTGTTAGTGTTTTTGTTTGTTTGTTTGTTTGTTTTGCACACTGGGTGAGCTGACTCAAGTTTGGTTTAGTAACAATTGGAGGCAGATATTAGAATGATGACCTACAAGTCAAGGAATGCCACAGATTTCTGGCTGTCACCAGAAGCTAGGAGAGAGGCATGGAAAAGATCTTCTCTCAGAGCCCTAAGATGGAACCAACCCTGCCAGCTCTGTGATTTTGGACTTCTTGCCTCCACAATTGTAAGAGAATAAATTTATATTCTTTTAAGTCATCTAGTTTGTGGTAGTTTATTGGACCAGCTCTAGAAAAACAAGATGGTTGGAAATAGATAGATGGATGGAGATAGATAGATAGATAGATAGATAGATAGATAAAGTTTCAAGCCTCTTGGGCTTAGGGCTAGTCATAAAATGAGGACTGAAGAAACCATCCATTGAAGTAATATAGTAGTCCCAAAGTTGTTAGTTGGACCACATAAAATTGCCATTTTTGAAGGCCAAGAAATAAGTAAAAAATTGCATTAATAAAGGCAATTTTATGTGGTTGAGCTTAATAGATTACATAAATAATTCAAGTTTTCTGAACCCTTTTGTTTTTTTTCCTCAGGAGCAGACCCCTTGGCTGAATTCTCTAAGAAAACATTTTCCCCACATCACTTTTCCTCTATAAACAGATTCTTAGGCTTCATTCATTTCCTTTAGACAAGGAAGTTTCAGTCTCCGTGACCTATATGGAATGAAACGCTAGAGGCAACTGGTCTTTGAGGTTTTGTCTGCTATTTCTCTCGTTTACACATCTCTGTGCATGATTTATCCTAGGAGACAATACTGGGGATTCTATCTAATTCACATTCAAAGCTGAGGTTTTTCCAGGGCATTTTCTCTCATTCCATTTGGCACAGTAGTAACTGTGTTTGACAACATCTGCCTTACAGCACCATTCTGCAGCTCCATCTGACACTTCATTCTCGTTCACATGCTCTTCCTGCCTGTCTTCTGAGGGAGATGTTTTCACAACAGCGAGAAGACAGTAAGGACGAACCAGAGCGGCACTTGCCCAACGAATATACGTCATGAACCCACCAAATGGCTTCACTGACCTCCTTCTCCAATTTATCCAAAGACTTTTGACATAAGCCAGCCTTTAAACCAGCCTGTTGCCCTTGGGGATTCTTGAGCATTCACATGTAATTTCTAAGTATTTATTTCCTAGACTTTCATATGTCTCTTCCCTCTCAAAGTTTCCTCAACTATGAAAAACAAATAGCCCTTCACAAATTTTACTGACAGTTTTTTAACCAATAAGAAATCGTACAAACAAGTCCTAAAACATCTTGTGTGTGACTACTGCTAAAATATGCCGTTTTATTTTCATACAAACTAAATATTTAACAGGAAATTCTATTTCATAAAAGTTTTAATAATCCTTACTTCAGATAAATTTTATGACTGTAAGAAACTAAATTAAGGGAAAATTCCAAATCTTATCAATCAACAGATTCCTCTACATTCTGGAATAAGTTAAATCATTGCCTACACCAAACAGAAAATTCAGAATATAGAATTCATTAGTAGCAAGTGCCATTGAAATTATTACTGACTTTCATTAAATTGTTTTTGTTATTTTGCTATGACTGTAAATTCTAACAGATTGTTTAAAAATATCATTCTATTTCTATTTAGCTGAAAACCTTGTAGTATTATGCTCTTCATTATATGAGATTCTAAAATTTCCCTGTGCCAGACAATACATAAACAGCTGGTAATTTTAAGCTGCCTTGAGGAAAAAAAATTCCTTGGCCTAAAAATGTATTTGACTTCAAAATTTATGATACTTCTCAGCATACTTTACAACTGGGTTTTCATATATATACATACATTTCACATATTTGTTCACATGAAATTTGAAAATGAATGTGTTATAAAAGAATATCTTGTCTTTTTGTGGTTTTATGAGTAGAAACTGCATAAGAACACAAAATCCAAGTAGGGCATTAAAATGGCAAAATACTCTCTGGGGGTATAGACAGTATTACACAGGTGTTGGCATTTATATTTTGAACTCCCATCTACTGTGTTTCTTACTCATTAGAGATAAGCCTAAGTCACTTTTGCCTCCTCAGCTTATCTATGAGTGTAGGGCAAAAGAAGCAACCCCCAAAACAAAAACCTTCCTTTTTTTCCAAGTACAAACTTCTAGATGAGCAGGTTCAGTCCCAGAAAAATTAACTCAATAAAATTCAATTATACTCTACTGAAGCAAGTGCAACATTTGAAAATTAAGGCAAATTAGAATCTGATGACTCCTTTAACAAATACATTTGTGCTTTATTTCAAATTCTTTTCAATAGCAAGCTTTTCTAATATTAAAATGTGGTTTTAATATTTAAATATTGAAATTATTATATAGTGTGTGTGTGTGTATGTGTGTGTGTGTGTATATACATATATATATATATAAAATCTCCAAGAACATGCCTGATATGCAAAATAAGGTCTACCTGCCAATTCTAAATGTTTTTCCTTGCCAATCTTCTCCCCAGAACCACATCCAATCTGAGATCCAGCTGCTTTCAAAGACTCATGCAATTTCCACCAGACAACAACCTATTTGGGTTGCACTCCCGTAATCAAGAGTCAAATGGGTTATTTGCACACAGCAGCTCTCTGGCCCCTTTGTTCTTCAAATCAGGTTCCTGCCTTCTCCAGGTCACAGGCCCCTTAGAGATGCCATTATATAAGAAATAAACTTACTGTTTTCTTTAACACTTTGAGAGCATAAGGCTTCTGGGTCCCCTTCTGTTTGCATCTGTACACAATGGATGTAGCACCCCTTGAGGGGGAAAAAGACAAAAAGAAAATGTTATGCTTTGGACATGAATTAAAGGGGAAAGCTTGAAAATAAGTGTATCTTGCAATAACCCACATAACTGACAAGTGCTTATTATAAGTTCTATTATAGGACCAGCCCTAGCTGTCAAGAGTATTTTTTTTTTTATCACAATTGAACACAGTTTGCTCAAAAAATTCTAGGTTTTCCAGCTTGCTCTTTTCCTTCTGCCTTATCCCTATACAAGTAACATAACTAGGGCTACTGCATTGAGAAGGCTCTGGAATAAATCAGGTCCTCAGGTGAATGTTGTTTTTGAAGGAAACCCACCCAATTTCAGAATCCCAGAGCTTTCCTAAAGGTACATGTCTGGAATAAAACAAACCATATGACTTCAGGGAGAGGGTTTAGGTTAAGCACTCTATATAGTCTGTACTTCCACAGTGTGGCAAGAGAGCTGGGACACCCCTCCTACTTTTTAACGTGTAGAGGAGATGGTAATCTGTGAAGCAGATGGTAAGAAGGCATTCAATAACTATTTTCACATATGTACAGGGTTATTAATAAGAAAGCATTAAAAAGCAGGACAACGTGGTCCAAATGCTCCAAACACCACATGAGAAGCAAAAGAGTAAAAGAGAGATAAAAGAGAAATATAGACCAAACAGGCTTACACTTCAACTTCAGAAAGAGAACTTCTAGAAACAGCTTAAGATCAGTAAACTTGTCAGACTTTGAAGATTAGGCCAAAGGACCTCTTATACTCGGTCCCATGGTCCTGAAATTCCAAGTGAGCACAAAGAATTATAAAAATAAAACACATTCCCAGCTATCTAAAGGCAACACATTTTTAACAGAGCCAAGAGAAGTCAAAGACTGGTGTGTTGTAAATGCAAATAGTTAAAAATATTAACATGTATTTTTAAAACCTTGGTAAGGTATGACATATACACAAAGTAATAAAGGGTTCAAGAAATAGAATAAATGAAGGTAATATAAAATTCATTTCCTTATTTTAAATTGCTTTAAAAGATAACTAAGGCAAAAATATTAAAATTTAAAAAAATTAAAAATGCATTGTGTTTCTAGCATGTGTAAAAATAAAAAATGTACGACAACAACAGCACAAATGATGGAAGGAAGAAATTGGGAAATACTGTTGTTAAATCCTTATACTACATGTCTGGTAGTCTAATATTATTTAAATATAGACTGATTAAAGATGCATATTATGTAACCTATGGCAATGACTAATTCTTTAATAGAAAAATCAACAATAATTCAATAATGGAGCTAAAATGAAATATTCAAGAATGGATTGCAAAGGAGCAAAAACAAAATAATAGATTTAAAAATGAAACAGCTAACAATGTGGTGGTTTTTATTCTAATCATATAATTACATTAAATGTAAACATTATAAACTGTTAATTAAAACTTAAAGAGCAGATTGGATAAAAAAAAATCAACACCAAACTATATGCTGTGTACAAGAAACTCATTTTAAATATATAGGCATAAATAGGTTAAAAAATAAAATGATACATTAGGTTGGTGCAAACCTGGTAAAAGAGATACTACACAAACCCTAACCATAAGAAAGCAGGAACAGCTTATTAATATCAGACTAAGTAAATTTTAGCAAAAGGATAAAGGGGGACATTAATTACGAAGGCGTCAACTATGCAAAACAACATAATAAATATAAATATGTGTGCACCTAACAACAGGGTTTCAAAATACCTGAAAGAAAATCTTATAGAACTAAAAGGAGAAATAAAAAATCCATAAATACACTTGGAAACTTCAATACACTGTCTCAGCACTTGATAGCAAAAGCAGACAAACTCTCAGGAAGGATTACAGAACAACAGAACAGCCCTACCAACTAAATTATACTAAGTGACATTTAGAAAAAAAAACTCTCCACCAAAACATCAGAATACATATTCTCTTCAAAGTTATAGGACTCACATACTTTATAGACTTACTATAAAGCTACAGTAATCGAGAGAGCGGTGTTGAAGAAAGAATAGACATGAATACAAATGAAATGTTTTTTGCATGTGTTTCATATAGGTAGCTAAAGTTGCAAACGAAATAAAGAACAGTTGTCATATTCGAGATAAGGCATTGGATTGGGGTAGAGGTGAGCAAAATAATAAGGTGATTAAGAAGGCAGCTCCAACAATTACTAGCTACATGACCCCATGCAAGTTACATGACCTCTTTGTGCCCTCAGTGTTCCTATCTGTAAAATGGAAAAAATAACAGTACCTATCTCATGAATTGTAAAGAGTAAATGTGTTAATCTATTTAAAGCATTTAGAGTGATACTTGGCACAGTAAGGTCTATGTAAGCATTTACTGTAATTGTTACATATTTCTAAATTTTTATAATTTTTACAAGAAAATACTCATATTCTTCATGTAATTCTTGGTGTATTCCTAGTGTAATTTTATTTTTATATTTACTTTTTTTTAAAAAAGGATCCAAAAATAGTCCTACACATATATGATGGATTATTTTCTGACAATGGTAAAAAGGCAATTCGGTGACAAAAAAAAGTTTTTCTAAAACCTAGTGCTTGAATGACTAGATATCCATATGTAAAAAGATAAAAACAAAATTTCTCCATACCTCACACCTTATATTAAAAAATTACTCAAAATGGATCACAGATAGAAATGCAAAACCAGGAACTGTAAAATTTCTCTTAAAAAACATAGAAAAAAAGGATTGTGATCTTTAGTTAGGCAATGATTTCTTAGATACAAAATCAAAAATACAATAAATGAAAGAACAAGTAAATAAACTGAACTTCACTTAAGAATGTCTGCTCTTTGAAAGTGTGGGAGAAAATATTTATGAATCACATATCTTAAAAGGACTTGTATCTAGAATAAATAAATAACTCTCAAAACTTGATAAGAAAATAACACATTAAAAATAGGCAAAATATCGGAACACATACAACTGATAGTACAGAAATGTAAAGGGTCTTAAGAGACTAGTATGAACAAATATACATCAACAGATTGGATGACCTAGAAGAAATGAATAAATTCCTAGATACATACAACCTACCAAGACTGAATAATGAAGAAATAGAAAATCTGAACAGACCAATAATGAGTAAGAAGATTGAAATTGTAATAGTTTCCCATCAAAAAACAAAAAGAAAAGAAAAAAGAAGCCTGGACCTAAAGGCTTCACTGCTGAATTTTACCAAACATTAAAAAAAACTAATACCAATCCGTCTCAAACTCTTTCAAAAACTGAAGAGGAGGGAATACTATCAAACGAATTTTATGAGGCCACCATTACCCTGATATCAAAGCCAGACAAGACCACTATAAGAAAAGAAAATATCCCTGATGAACACAGATACAAAAATCCTCAACAAAATACTAGCAAACTGAATTCAGCAGCACATTGAAAGGCTCATTCATCATGGTCAAGTGTTATTTACCCTTGGGATGAAAAAGTAAACATATTCAAATCAGTAATTGTGACATACCACACTAACAAAATGAAAGACAAATCACATGATCATCTCAATAGATGCAGAAAAAGCATTTGACAAAATTTAACATCTATTCATGACAAAAACTCTCAACAAATTACGTATAGAAAGAATGTACCTCAACACAATAAAGGCCATATATGACAATTCCACAGCTAATATACTCAATGGTAAAAAGTTGAAAGCTGTTCCTCTAAAATCAGGAACAAGACATAGATTCTCAATCTCACCACTTCTATTCAATACAGTAGTAGAAACCCTAGCCAGAACAATTAGGCAAGGCAAAGAAATAAAAGGAATCTGAATCAAAAAGGAGTAAGTTAAACTGTCGCTATTTTCAGGTGATATGATTATATACACAAAAACCCTTGAAGACTTCACCAAAATACAGTTAGAAATAATAAATGAATTCAGTAAAGTTGCAGGATACAAAATCAACATTAAAAAATCAGTTGGGTTTCTCTATACTGATAACAAGCTGTCCAAAAAAGAAATGAAGAAAATAATTCAATTTACAATAGATAAAGATATAAAATACTTAGAAATAAATGTAAACAAAGAAGTGAAAGATCTGTATACTGAAAACTATAAACATGCATAAAAGAAATTGAAGAAACCACAAAAAAATGAAAAGATATCCTGTGTTCATGGATTGAAAGAATTAATATTGTTAAAATGTCCATATTACCCAAAGCAATCTACAGATTCAATATAATCCCTATCAAAATTCCAATAACATTGTTCACACAAGTAAAAAAAAATTCCGAAATTCCTGTGGAATCACAAAAGACCCCAAATAGTCAAAGTAATCTTGAGCAAAAAGAACAAAGCTAGAAACATCACACTACCTGATTTCAAAATCTACTACAAAGCTATAGTAGTCAAAATGGCATGATACTGGCATAAAAATAAACACATAGAGCAATGGAACAAATAGAGATCCCTGAAATAAATCCACACATTTATGGCCAACTGGTTTTTGACAAAGATGCCAAGAACACATAATGGGGAAGGAATATTTTCATTAATAAATGGTGCTGGGAAAACTGGACATCCAAAAGCAAAAGAATGAAATAAGACCCTTATCTCACACCATTTACAAAGATCAACTCAAAATGAATTAAATACAAATGTAATACCTGAAGCTGTAAAACTACTAAGTGAAAACATAGGAAGAAAGCTCTATAACACCGGTCTGGGAAATAATTTTTTGGATATGACCTCAAAGGTACAGCTAACAAAAGCAAAAATAGATAACTGAAATTATATCAAACTAGAAAGCTTCTGCACAGCCAAGGAGACAATCAGCAGAATAAAACAGACAACCTACAGAATGGGAGAAAATATGTTTAAACCATACATCTGATAAGGGGTTAATATGCAAAATATATAAGGAACTCAAACACATCAATAGTAAAAAACTAAGTAACTCAATTAAAACATGGGCAAAGCATATGGCTTAAAGCAATCTATAGAGTCAACACTATTCCTATCAAACTACTAACATCATTTTTCACAGAATTACAAGAAACTATTCTAAAATTCATATGCATTCAAAAAAGAGCCTGAATAGCCAAAGCAAAAAAGAATAAAGCCGGAGGCATCACATTACTGGACTTCAAAATACGCTACAAGGATACAGTAACCAAAACAGCATAGTACTGGTATTAAAAATGGACACAATATACCAATGGAACAGAATATAGAACCCAGAAATAAAGCCACACACCTACAGCCATCGGATCTTCAACAATTCGACAAAAGCAAGCAATGGGAAAAGTTCTCCCTATTCAATAAATGGTGCTAGGATAGCTGGCTAGCTATATGGAGAAGAAACTGGACCCTCCCTTTCACCATATACAAAAGTTAACTCAAAATGCATTAAAGATTTAGATGTAAGACCTCAAGCTTTAAGAATCCTAGAAGAAAATCAAGGAACCACCTTTCTGGACATTGGCCTTGGCAAAGAATTTTTGCCTACGTCCTCAAAAGAAGTTGCAACAAAAACAAAAATTGACAAATGGGACCTAATTAAACTAAAGAATTTCTGCACAGCAAAATAAAGTAAAGTATCAACAGAGTTAACAGACAACCTACAACCACCAGAGGATTGGAGTGGAGACACTAGGGAGATATGATGTTACTCAAAGGATACAAATGTTTAATTAGCCAGGAGGAACAAATGCAAGAGCTCTTAATAATATAGTTAATAATAATGTATTGTATACTTGAAAATTACTGAGTAGTTCTTAAGTTCTAAGTAAATTTTAATTTACACCATTAAAAATGAGGTAATTCATATGTTATTTAGCTTGATTTAGTCATTCCACAGTGTATACATATTTTAGAACATCATATTTACACTATAAAAATATATAATTATTTCCAATGAAAAATGATTTGACCATATACTTCACCAGAGAAAATGTATGGCTGGCAAACAAGAACATGCAAAGATCCACAGCATCATTAGTCATTTGGGAAATGGAAACTAAAATCACATGAAGATGCAACTACACATTGTGAAAGCTGATTACACAGATTGGATTATCCTTTTCATACCCAACTAAAACAGTCTAGAGGCAGCAGGGCAAGACATTAGGGACACATAACATTGCTCCAAAAACATAGTTCTTTACAAGTCCGGCTGCTGAAACTTGCCTGTTGTAACTAGAGACCAGTTTTCTTTGTAACTGCTGCAACTTTAGTACTAATTTGGCCCACTGCTGTCACTCACCGATCAGAGCTTATCAGTTCCTCAGAACCTTACTAGTGCCAATGACCTTTCTCAAAAAGCAATATATAACATTTCTACTTTTTATACAACCTCCAACCTCTTTGTTCTTTTGACATACTGAAGACCACCTAGTCTGAAAGTACACCCCAAATTGCAATTATTTCTTCTCAAATAAAACATTAAATTTAGAGATGTGTCTTTATATTTTTATTGTGACTTCAACAACACTATTTGAATGACCTAAAAAAAAAAAAAAAGGCTGGCAAGGATGCAAAGCAACTGAAACTCTCACACATCACTGGTAAGAATACAAAATGGTATAGCCACTTTTGAAAACAGCTTGACGATGTTTTATAAAGTTAAACATATCATATGACCTATGTATGTCACTTCTAGGTATTTACTCAAGTAAGATCAAAACAATGTTCACTCACAAACTTGAACCTGAATTGTCACAGCAGGTTTATGAGTAATCACCAAAAGCTAGAAACAGTTTCACTATCCCTCAACTGTGAAGTGGATTAACAATTTGTGATACATCCATATGGTGAAATTCTACCTAGAAATAAAAAAGGAATTAATGAGGGTACACAAAACAACTTGGTTGAATCTCATTTATAATACTCTCACAGGTTGGAGAGGGATTGACTACAAAGTAGTATAGGGGAATTTTTTTCACATGATAGAACTATTTTATATCTTGACTGTTATGGTGTTTACACAACTATATACAATTGTAAAAACAAGTAAAACTGCAATAAAATAGGTGAAATTTACTGTCCAGAAATTATAGTTCAATGAAAATACAGTAAAAAAAAATTTCCAAAAGAACTATATTGTTTAAAAATATTAAAAACCACATTACCAAAATGTGGCTTATAGCATTCAACCCATTCTATGTTCATTTAACAGTAAGTGGTGAAATTTTAAAAAAAAGAAAAAATATAAGAGAAAGATTTTCAAACAGAAGAAAACTAAAAATCTAATTTTCATTCTTATGGAAAATAAAATTGAAAAATTAATGTTACTCAAAAATTCACATAAAAAATATTAAATGGCATCCATTTCTTAATTTCCTCATCACATTCAATTAACCTATCAATAAATTCCATATATAAATCATTGTCTTAGCAAAGCTTTTTAAGAAACAATTAATAAATACGTTTTTGGCTGATCAACTTCAGGACACAAGTATACTAGAAATAAATTTTTAAAGGCAAGAAAGAGTAAGCTAAAAGAAGAACTTATGTGGAAATAACAATTCAACAGTTTCTCAAAAAAATAACCTATATTATTAATTGAAATTAAATAGTTGACTTAAGTGTGTAAATATAATTTTAGAAAGCAATCACATTTTCAGCATGTTCATATAAAAATAAAAACTATTTTGACATAAAGCATATTAACAGTTAATTTTTAATACAGAAAGAACATCTTGTACAGTGTTGCATCTTCATTTCAAAATGGAATAAAGAGAGAACTACCACAAAATTGCCTGAGATTCAAAAGAAGCAAGGAGATTATACATTAGAGGATATTATATTTATGGAGTCATTCAACTGAAAAAAATAAAGCTTTACTGCTCATGTCTATCCATTTATAACATATTCTTCAGCAAAAAGACCAAAGAATTATAGAAATTATTCCATTTATAATTTTTTCTGCCATGAATTTGATGAGAAATGAAACTAATACTTTGAGCCTGATTTCTACTACTTTCTTTTACATTAGTTTTAACAGGAATTCTAGAAAAATTATTTTTGAGCTCTAGTTTTGTCTAATATGGTTAGTTGTTTATTTAAAAATTTAAAGGCAAAAAGTTAAAAATATAGACCACCATATTTTTCATTACACAAAAAGAGAGAGTTGTCAAACCTGTAATGTGTTTGTAAAATCATATGTAGTATTTGTACATTATAACTGAAATACTACGTATAAACTATAATATGTGTACATACATATACAAAATATATATTATATCCCCACACATTGTTCTGTAAAGCTATTAACACCTGATGTTGATACCTGGCACTGCATGCCAAACTTATGGATGGAGGGGAAGGCTCCAGATATAATATTTATTTTCCTGAATATGTTTCAAGTATAAAGCCCACTGCTACCACATTTAGGACTACGTAGTGTAGAAAGGGGCTCTTCATCTGTCAGTTGGCCTTAACATGCTCCTCACGCCTAATTCATATGGAATAACTTTTCTTTCTTTTTCTCCCATAATCTCACCATTTTTTTCTTCCTGTCTTCTTTCTTGCTTTAAAAAAAGATAAATTGGTTTAATTTTATTTTTTCCTCCAAAAAACAATGCAGGAGTGTTGACATAACTATTCACCCACTAGCTGAGAGACAGATACCCATATGGATTCAAAGGGCCAAATACAGATCAAATCTGATTCAAAATGGAATTAGGAAGTCTGGGTTCATATTAATATTTTTGGGAATGAAGATGAGATTGCACAATGTTCAGACAATTTAGCATCAAGGGCATTCTCCTATTAAGGGAGGTTATAAATCAGAAATTGTCTCTTCTAGGAGAGGACATAGTGGGATGTTTGTGATTATTTGAGGGAAGCATTAAAGTTTGACTTCCCTTGCCATCAAGTCTACAATGTACTCCTTGCAAATGCAAGGGAAATTCAGATATGGAATCTCTTATCACACAGAAGTCTGGAAGTACTGCTGACTACCATGTTTCTCCGCTCCAGCTGGATCTCTGCAATGATATGCTTCATGGCCATGTAAAAGTGTCTTTGCTGAGGTTATTAGGTCACGTAAGCTATTAAAGAGTTTCACTTTTTTTTTTAAATGGGAGGTATCTTGAGATGAAATCAAAAAATCTTGTTATCTTTTTCTAATGTTGAAGATGCTTGGTTACAAAGTATAGTTATGTCAAAATATTAATCATTTTTTAACATTTCAATTGGTTTGATTTTATTCTTTTGTTTTTGCATTTGATTGTTAAAGTTTTTGTTTTCAATCTATGTGCTTACTGGAAAGATCCTCTTAATGCTCATTAGGGAAAAGGTTTAAAAGCAAAGCTGTGATTTAAAAGAAGTGTCAATCATAGGTTGAAAATATAATGTGTGCAACTCTATATATCATCACATTACTCTTACATGATTGACTTGCTATTATTTAATAAGCTCTTCTTTTTATTGACTTTTAGGTTATATGAATTATTAAAGAAGACTGGTTATAACCTCAAAATTGATTCTTCTTAGGGGTGAAAGTGTGTCATATTAAAGAGCAGGAACCTAAAAAACGTCAAAATCTGTAAGCATTTAATATCAGTATACATCTTGGCCCATTCTTGGGACAGCTTTTCATTGTTTCAGTCTCTATCTCTGTTAGCCTGCAACTCATCAATGCTCTTCAACACTAGAATGCTTCAAGATGTTCTTTGGTCACCAAGAGGGAAAAAAGTCTGAACCTTAAAATCAACAAACAACTGGAGGAAAGCTACTTAATTGATTTAATTAGTGATTTGACATTTTCAGTCTACAACGTGAAGAATGGCTAACCTTTAGAATTTAGAAGTTGCCGTTAGATCTGGAGGTTTCCCAAGTCAGTTAAATATTACACTCCTAAAATAAATCTCAAATATATCATGTCAAGGAATGATACTAATGATACTAAACTCCAGATGTTAAGAAAAGTCCAAGCCCAAGGTTTTGGCATCAGTCTGTCCACAACTGCACTCTTTCTTATCAGGTTCATTTACTTGCTGAATCCTGCAGAAAGCAAGCGTAAGCACCTCACTTCAGTCTTCTCATGTCCTCCTACTTGGTGCCTTACGTCAACTTTTTGGTCTGTCTCCCAGATAGAGTCCTCATTTGTTGTTTCAGCCTCATGTCAGCTTATTCTACAGCCACTGTCTTACAGGTATCATTCCTGACCTACAAACCCTTTTTCAAGACCTTATATTGGCAACTAACTATTAACTCTTCAACTCTGATCAACTCAAACTATGAATTATTATATTCTCTACTTTGTGGCTCCAGTTTCTCAAAACCTTGCTTGCCTGGTGAACAATTTCCTTAAGTTGTTGCCTAACAGCATCCAGTTGTGACTTTGGACCTAGTGCTTGGATCTCCATAAGCATTGGCTTAAATATGGCTCCTCTTATTTCAGACATTTAATAAAACTTCTGCCCTAACATAAAGTAAAAGCGTAAGAAGCTCTGGAACCCAAATGCTGAATTTTAGCTACCACAAGGTAAAGCAAAAACAGCCTCAAATTATCAGATAGCTTGAGTATTGGTTCTCAATCACAAAATACATTAATAACAATAAAACTATGGAATAAAGGGTCTTAATAACTCTTATCAGTCCTCTTTGTTTGCTTCAAAATATTTTATGCATCATATTGTTAGCTATTAGTATCAACTAATCAAACATCTTGCGAAAAGTTTATTTTCCTTTTTTTCTGTGAGTGGGTGTGTGCACATGCATGCAGCACACAGAACTGAATTTTTGATCAACCATTTAATGTTATAATACATGAATGAAGACAGCTATTGTTCTTTTTTAACCTTTATCCTCCATTCCCAGTCCTCTTTCCTTCTATTCCATACCATCTACTATATTTAATGTGTATCTACACAATTCCATCTCCATACCTTCAATTATGCTTAATATTAATAAGCAATATATACCATTGTTTTTATATACTATTTAGATTTTATAGAAGTGTTACTATACTATATACCTCAGTCCTCAATTTGCATTTTTTCACTGAACATGATGTTGATATCTATTATTGTTGATTAACACAGTTCTTAATAAGTCCTGTTAATTGCTGCCACTCAACGAATATACCACATTTTACTTGTTCAGTATGACTTTGATGGACATTTCGGTTTTTAACTATTTCAAACCAAAATTTAATGAATATTCTTTCTTCTAAGTTTTTCCACAATTTGGTTGTAATTTTCTAATGGCCCTGCAATTTTTCCTGCTGTCTATGGGAAATCTTTTTAATTGAGAAGTAAAAGCACCAATGTTGTAATCCCTGAAGTCAGGCATAACACCCAAATGCACTAGACCAGCAGCTCACAGAAATCTCACCCTGCATCTTTATGCTTGCATTCTCAAATAGCATCAAGAATAAAATGTAATTAATTTTGAAGTACTAGAAAAGTTATTTCATTGCAGCGAACACTCTCCTTAAGACTGAGGTTAAATCATGCTGCTATAAAGACACATGCACACATATGTTTATTGCAGCACTACTCACAATAGCAAAGACTTGGAACCAACCCAAATGTCCAACAATGATAGACTGGATTAAGAAAATGTGGCACATATACATCGTGGAATACTATGTAGCCATAAAAAATGATGAGTTCATGTCCTTTGCAGGGACATGGATGAAATTGGAAATCATCATTCTCAGTAATCTATCGCAAGGACAAAAAACCAAACACCGCATGTTCTCACGCATAGATAGGAATTGAACAATGAGAACACATGGACACAGGAAGGGGAACATCACACTCCGGGACTGTTGTGGGGTGGGGGGAGGGGGGAGGGATAGCATTAGGAGATATACCTAATGCTAAATGACGAGTTAATGGGTGCAGCACACCAGCATGGCACATGTATACATACGTAACTAACTTGCACATTGTGCACATATACCCTAAAACTTAAAGTATAATAATAATAAAAAAGAAAAGGATGCTTAAATTGTGTGGGTGTGAGCAATATTTAGTCGTATATTTAAAAGCAGCAGAAATCACTGTTCATTTTTAAAACGGAGTTAGATTTCATCAAGTGAAAATTTATTAGGCACTGTGCTAGGCACTTTATGGGAATATAAGGATGGTTCTGGCCCCTAATGAACTTAAAACATAATATGAAAATAAGAAAAAATCTATAAATAAATATATAATTTTCAAAGTAGGCTAAATACTAAGATCAAAACTATGGAACTTTGGGTAGCACAAATTTATAATTTATTGTCAAGCCTGTATGTTTTTGAGTAGGATTAATCGATTATGTCAAAACCATATATATAAATCAGGACTATCCTTGGTAAACAGAGATATGTAATCCCTTACTACTGGTGACTAAAAAGGAGGGAGAAAACTGGGGAGCCGTCTTGTAGGAGGGCAAATTTAAGTGGGTCTTCAAGATGGATAGGGACTAACAAAGGCAAAAGAATAGACTGGCAGGTGTTATACACAAATGATCTTACTCGAGCCTCAATGTTTAACTTCTGTAAAAACTGTCAAATAGTTTTTCAATGTGGTTGTACCATTTCATTCCCACAAGCAGGGTATGAGAGTTCTAGTTGCTCCACATCTTCATCAACATTTGGAAATGTCAATTATTTTAGTTTTTGCTATTTTAGTGGGTATGAGGTGGTGTCATATTGTGATTTAATTTACATTTCCACGAATAATGATGTTGAGTACTTTTGCAGGGACTTATATGTAATTCATTCATCTTTTGTGAAGCATTTTGGTCTTTTGCCCATTTAAAAAATATAACTTTGTTTTTATTATTTTTATGTTTTTTTAAAATTCCAGACACAAGATTATTTGTTATATATGTGTATTCTCCCAGTCAATAGTTTGCTTTGTTATTGTTCTTAATGGTGTCTTTTGATAATCATAATCTTTTAATTTTGAGATCCAATTTATCAGTTCTTTTACAGTGAGTGCTTTTTTGTGTTCTAAGAAATCATTGCTCATCCTCAAGTCATAAAGATATTATCCTAGTTTTCTTCTAGTAGTTTTCTAGTTTTAACTTTTATGTTTATGTATATGACATATCTTGAATTTTTTTTGTTTGTGGTATAAGGCATGTATCAAGGTATATTTTTTCCATGTATTTATGTAGTTGTTCCAGCACCTTTAATTGAAAAGATTTTCTTTCCCCATTGCACTGCCTCAGTACTTTTGCCAAAAATCAACTAACTATTGATCTATGGATCTGTGCCAGGACTCTATTCTCTCTATTGTTATGCCAACGCCTCACTACTCTGATTTCTGTAGTTTTACAGTAGTTATCTATGGGGGATTGGTGTTCTCAGATCCACTATTGACACCAAACTCCATGGATGCTCAAGTCCCTTATATAAAATGGTATAGTATTTGCATATAATCTATGCACATTCCCCCTTATACTTTAAATCATCTCTAGATTACTTATAATTAATTATAACTTGGGGTATTCTGGTTATTCTACTTTTCCTTGTAACACTTAGAATCAATTCACTGATGTTTACCAAACAACAACAACAAAAAACCAAACAACAACAACAACAAAAAAAGAAAAACAAAGATCCTGCTAGGATTTTAATTAGGATTATATTGAATCTATAGATCAATTTGGAGAGAACTGACATCTTAATGTTGAGTCCTCCAATCCATTTACAGTGTGTATCACTCCATTTAGGTTTCCTTTTATTTCTCAGCAATATTTTGAAGTTTTCCTAGTAAAAGTCTTTTATGTCTTTTGTTAAAGTTACAGTTCATTGTTTTTTATTTCTTGATGTAATTATAATAATATTGTAGAATTTTCTTTTATGGGTGTTTGCTTCTAATATATATAAATACAACTTATTTTTGTATGGTGACATTTATCTTAAAACCTTGCCAAATTAACTTACTAGTCTTCTAGAGTTTTTTATTTGTTTGTTTTTTTGTAGGGGTGGTGGGGAGTAGAATTCTGAGGACTTCTACCAAAAAAAATATGTTTTATCTGAATAAATAGTTTTACTTCAAACTTTACCTTTTTCTCTTCCAATTGCACTAGCTTGGACCTCAAATATAATATTCTATTGAAGTAGTGGGAGCAGATATCCTTGCCTTATTCCTGATCTTAAAGTGAAAGCATTCAGTTTTTCATCAATAAAAATGACATCAGCTGTAGTTTTTTCATAGATGTGGTTTGTCAAATTAAGAAAATTCCCTTTCTTTCTTACTTTGCTGAGAGATTTATTTTTCTTTTTTTAATTATGAATGGACAGTGAATGTTGTCAAATACTTAATCTACCTTTATTGAGATGACTGTATGATTTTTTCTCATTAATATCTAAATGTGGCTACTTCCACTAATCAAGCAGCTAATGTTAAGCTCACCTTGCATTCTTGGGATAATCCCCATTTGCTGATGATGTATTATTTATACTTCTGGGTTCTATTTGCTAATAATTATAAAAGGACTTTTATACCTATGCAAAAATAAAACCATGAGGGACAAATCTATAATATTATTTTCTCTTAAATATTTATAAAATAATGTGGTATTAGTGTTATGCTGCCCTCATAAAAAGGTGGAAGATTTTGTCATCTGTAAACAGGGACAATTTGACTTCCTCTTTTCCTAATTGAATACTCTTTATTTCCTTCTCCAGCCTGATTGCCCTGGCCAGAACTTCCAACACCATGTTGAATAGGAGTGGTGAGAGAGGGCATCCCTGTCTTGTGCCCATTTTTAAAGGGAATGCTTACAGTTTTCGCCCATTCAGTATGATATTGGCTGTGGGTTTCTCATAGATAGCTCTTATTATTTTGAGATACATCCCATCAATACCTAATTTATTGAGAGGTTTTAGCATGAAGCGTTGTTGAATTTTGTCAAAGGCCTTTTCTGCATCTACTGAAATAATCATGTGGTTTTTGTCTTTGGTTCTGTTTATATGCTGGATTACATTTACTGATTTGCATATGTTGAACCAGCCTTGCAACCCAGGGATGAAGCCCACTTGATCATGGTGGGTAAGCTTTTTGATGTGCTGCTGCATTCGGTTTGCAGTATTTTATTGAGGAATTTTGCATCGATGTTCATCAAGGATATTGATTGTACATCTACAAAACCCCATCGTCTCAGCCCAAAATCTCCTCAAGCTGATAAGCGACTTCAGCAAAGTCTCAGGATACAAAATCAATGTACAAAAATCACAAACATTCTTATACACCAATAACAGACAAACAGAGAGCCAAATCATGAGTGAACTCCCATTCACAATTGCTTCAAGGAGAATAAAATACCTAGGAATCCAACTTACAAGGGATGTGAAGGACCTCTTCAAGGAGAACTACAAACCTCTGCTCAAGGAAATAAAAGAGGATACAAACAAATGGAAGAACATTCCATGCTCATGGGTAGGAAGAATCAATATCGTGAAAATGGCCATACTGCCCAAGGTATTTTATAGATTCAATGCCATCCCCATCAAGCTACCAATGACTTTCTTCACAGATTCGGAAAAAACTACTTGAAAGTTCATATGGAACCAAAAAAGAGCCCGCATCGCCAAGTCACTCCTAAGCCAAAAGAACAAAGCTGGAGGCATCACGCTACCTGACTTCAAACTACACTACAAGGTTACAGTAACCAAAACAGCAAGGTACTGGTACCAAAACAGAGATATAGACCAATGGAACAGAACAGAGCCCTCAGAAATAATGCCACATATCTACAACTATCTGATCTTTGACAAACCTGACAAAAACAAGCAATGGGGAAAGGATTCCCTATTTAATAAATGGTGCTGGCAAAACTGGCTAGCCATATGTAGAAAGCTGAAACTGGATCCCTTCCTTACACCTTATACAAAAATTAATTCAAGATGGATTAAAGACTTAAATGTTAGACCTAAAACCATAAAAACCCTAGAAAAAAACCTAGGCAATACCATTCAGGACACAGGCATGGGCAAGGACTTCATGTCTAAAACACCAAAAGCAATGGCAACAAAAGCCAAAATTGACAAATGGGATCTAATTCAATTAAAGAGCTTCTGCACAGCAAAAGAAACTACCATCAGAGTGAACAGGCAACCTACGACATGGGAGAAAATTTCTGCAACCTACTCATCTGACAAAGGGCTAATATCCAGAATCTACAATGAACTCAAAACAAATTTACAAGAAAAAAACAAACAACCCCATCAAAAAGTGGGCGAAGGATATGAACAGACACTTCTCAAAAGAAGACATTTATGCAGCCAAAAGACACATGAAAAAATGCTCATCATCACTGGCCATCAGAGAAATGCAAATCAAAACCACAATGAGATACCATCTCACACCAGTTAGAATGGTGATCATTAAAAAGTCAGGAAACAACAGGTGCTGGAGAGGATGTGGAGAAATAGGAACATTTTTACACTGTTGGTGGGACTGTAAACTAGTTCAACCATTGTGGAAGTCAGTGTGGCGATTCCTCAGGGATCTAGAACTAGAAATACCATTTGACCCAGCCATCCCATTACTGGGTATATACCCAAAGGACTGTAAATCATGCTGCTATAAAGACACATGCACACATATGTTTATTGTAGCACTATTCACAATAGCAAAGACTTGGAACCAACCCAAATGTCCCACAACGACAGACTGGATTAAGAAAATGTGGCACATATACACCATGGAATACTATGCAGCCATAAAAAATGATGAGTTCATGTCCTTTGCAGGGACATGGATGAAACTGGAAACCATCATTCTCAGCAAACTATCACAAGGACAAAAAACCAAACACCACATGTTCTCACTCATAGGTGGGAATTGAACAACGAGAACACATGGACACAGGAAGGGGAACATCACACACCAGGGACTGTTGTGGAGTTGGGGGAGGGGGGAGGGATAGCATTAGGAGATATACCTAATGCTAAATGACGAGTTAATGGGTGCAGCACACCAGCATGGCACATGTATACATATGTAACAAACCTGCACATTGTGCACATGTACCCTAAAACTTAAAGTATAATAATAATAAAATTTAAAAAAAAAACAGTTTCTTAGAAAGCACTCAGCTTTCTATTTTGGAATTTTATTTTAATTAAACATATAATAACAATGTGCAGAGAATTCGATTAGTCATCACCCTGTTTCATGACACACTGTTGCCATTGGTCCATGCACAACCCTATTTAATATTAATTACATAATAATTTATTAAGTAGATAATCCAGTCCAATGACTCAAAAAGTATCTATAAGAAATACCTACCAATGTACTCCTTCCCTGTATTGTGCAACTGCTTAGCCTCGTCCTTATCTGCAAATGGCAACATTCACAGAATGTTTCTTTGTACTCTTTTTTTTTATTTATAGCTTTACACACACACAGAGAGACACGCAAAGCATATATTTTCTAGTTTGCCTGTTACCGAAGTTAATAAAAAATTTCCTTCTATTTAAAAAAAAAAGGTGGAAGATTTTTTTTTAATTTTCTGCAAAAGATTGTGTAATACTGGCATTATTTACTTTTTAAGGCTTTTGTAGAATTCAACAGTGAAAATATCTGGGCTCTGGAGTCTTCTTTTGAGGAAGACTTTTAATAGAAAATGTATTTACTTAACAGATATAAGGTTATTTCTATTTTTATTTCTTATGTCACTTTTGGAAGTTTGAATTATTTTAGAAAATTTTCCATTTAATTTAGTTTGTTGAATGTATTAGCCCAAAATTGTTATTTGTTCATAATATCTTTTCAATATCTATAGGGTTTATAGAGATATTCCCTTTTATCCCTAATATTGGACTTCATTTTTTTGCTTGTTTTCTTCAACAGTCTTGCTAGGGGTTTGTAAATTTCATTAATCATGTCAAAGGGCCAACTTTTAGCATTTTAAATTTTTCCCATTATTTGCTGTCAATTTTATTGACTTCTACATTATCTTTATTTCCTCTTTTCTACTTCCTTTGAAACTGAATTGTATCTCTCTTCTTTTATATTTATTTAGCTTCTTAATGTAGAAATGTAGGTCATTAATTGTAAACCTTTTTAAAAAACATTCAATGCTAAAATTTTCCTTTAAACACTACTTTAGCTGTATCCCACAAATTTTGATATGTTGTATTTGCATTATCATTTAGTTGAAAATATTTACCAGATCTCCTTTAATTATTTTCTTTATCCCATGGCTTTATCCCATGGTTCACTCATCAGAGTGAACAGGCAATCTACAGAATGGTAGAAAAGTTTTGCAATCTGTCCATCTGACAAAGGTCTAATATAGAGAATATACAAGGAACTTAAACAAATTTACAAGAAAAAAAACAACCCCATCAAAAAGTGGGCGAAGGATATGAATAGACACTTCTCAAAAGAAGACATTTATGTGGCCAAGAAACATAGGGAAAAAAGCTCATCATCACCAGTCATTACAGAAATGCACATCAAAACCACAATGAGATACCATCGCATGCCAGTTAGAATGGTGATTATTAAAAAGTCAGAAAAATGGCAATTATAAAAAAGACAGATGCTAGCGAGGCTGTGGAGAAATAGGAATGCTTTTACATCGTTGGTGAGAGTGTAAATTAGTTCAACCATTGTGGAAGACAGTGTGGCAATCCCTCAAGGATCTAGAACCAGAAATACCATTTGACCCGGCAATCCTACTACGGGGTATTATATCTAAAGTATTATAAATCATTCTGCTATAAAAACACATGCACATGTATGTTTATTGCAGTACTATTTACAACAGCAAAGACTTGGAACCAACCCAAATGCCCATCAATGATAGACTGGATAAAGAAAATGTGGCATATATATAAATATATATATACCACAGAATACAATATAGTCATAAAAAAGGATGACTTCATGTCCTTTGCAGGGACATGGATGAAGCTGGAAGCTATCATTTTCAGCAAACTAACATAGGAACAGAAAACCAAACACCGCATGTTCTCACTCATAAGCGGGAGTTGAACGATGAGAACACAAAGACACAGGGAGGGGAACATCACTCACCATGGCCTGTTGGGGGGTTGGGGGAAGGGGAGGGAGCGCATTAGGAAAATACCTAATGCACGCGGGGCTTAAAACATAGATGACGGGTTGATAGGTGCAGCAAACCACCATGGCACATGTATACCTATGTAACAAACCTGCATGTTCTGCACATGAATCCCAGAACTTAAAGTAAAATAAGAAAAAAAATACATACTATAAAGTTTGAAATTTTTAGAGATGTATATTATGTTTCAATATATGATCTATTTTGAAGAACTGCTTATGTGTTCTCAAAAAGGAATATATTTTGCAGTTATTTAATCTGATGTTCTGTAAGTGTCAATTAAGTCAAGGTGATTGGTAATATTCAAATCATATATATTCTTTATTTTTTGTTCACTTGTTCTAACAATTTTTGAGAGGGGGGTGTTAAAATCTCTAGCTTTGTGAATCTATTTTTCTCTTCTCCTTCAATTTTTGCCTTATCTGTTAGTAGCTGCATATACATTTAGAATTATGACTTTCTGATGTATTAAACTAGTTAAATCATTATGAAATGCCCCTTCATTTCTGGCAATGCATTTTTAATTGAAGTTTGTTTTCCATCATACTAAAAATAGCATGAACTATTTTATCATCAGCTAAATATAAAAGACAACTTTCTTATATTTAGAATTTGAATATTTCTTTTTATATCCTTTTATTTTCATTCTATTTGTCTTTATATTTAAAGTGCATCTCCTATAGATAATCTTGAAACTTCTTTCAATGTATCAATCTCTGCCTTTGAATTGGAGTATTTAGTTCATTTATATTTATTATTATTTGTGATATAATTAGGTTAAGTCATCCTTATTTTAAAAAATTGTTTCATTTTTTCTACTTTCCTGCTATCATTTGGATTATTTTATTATTTTTTAATCTTCTACTTTATCAATTCTCTTGGTCTTTAAGGGATATTTTATTATTTTGTTAGTGGTTGTCCTCAGGATTATAGTATATATCTTATTTTTCTCAGTTTACACTGTAAAATATAAACATCTTAAAACAGTAATTCCATTTAACCACCTCCTCTTGCTTTCCTATCTTTTGGACTGTTATTATCCTATATTTTACTTCAGGGACTTGATTTTGCTTTAAACGATCAATTGACTTAAAAGATAGTAAGGGCAGAATAAAAATGTGTCTCTCATATTACCTACATTCTATTTCCCATGCTCTTCACTGATTTCTATAAATCTGAACTTCTATTTAGTGTTATTTTCCTTCAAATTAAAAAGTTTGTTTGGCATTACTTGTGGTTTATGTGTGCTGACAATAGATTCTTTCAGTTTTCATTTATTTTAAAATGTCTATTTTAGTCTCATTTTGAGACATATTTTAACAAGATATACAATTCTGGGAAGACAGGTTTTATTTTATTTTTTCTCTGGAACTTTGAAGGTGTTGTTCCATTGTCTTCTGGTCTTCATTTTTTTTTCAAATGGGACATTAGTCATCATTCATATTCACTGTTTTCCTGTATGCAAATGCTCCTTGACTTACAGGGTCCCAATAAACTCACTGTATATCGAAAATATCATAAGTGGAAAATGCATTTAATGCTGGCAACACAGCCAACGGTCCTCAATTTACAAGTGGTTTGACTTGTGATTTTTTGATTTTACAATAGTGCAAACATGATATGCATTTAGTAGAAATCATCAGTTTGCTATGGGATTTTGCCCTGATAAACCCATCATAAAGTAAAAAAAATCGTAAGTATAGGACTGTCTGTATATCATATCTTTGTTTCATGGTTCCTTTTAAGATTTTCTCTTTATCTTTGGTTTCTGGCTTTTGAGGATATGCCTACCTTTGGTTCTCTTTGCATTTACCATGTTTGCTGTTCAGTAAGCCTCTTGAATCTGTAATGTTCTTTACCAGCTTTGGAAAATGCCTTCCTCTTACATCTGTAAATATTTTTTCTGCCCATTTATCACTCTCCACTCCCTCTGAGACATATATTCCATTTATGATAGCCTTCTTGATATTTTCCCACAAGTTGTTAAGACTGTTCCTTTTTACCAGTTGCTTTTCTCTCTATTCTTCAGATTGGACAATTTCTATTGATTTGTCTTCAAGTTCACTATTTCTTTTGCAGCCTTTAATCCATTCTTAAGCTTATTCATTTTAAATTTCATATAATGTACTTTTCAATTCTAAAATTCCCATTAGGCTCTTTTACATAGTTTCCATTTCTGTGCTGAAACATTCTCTATGTTTATTATGCCCATATTTTGCTTCATGTTCTTGAATATATTAATAATTTGTTTTACAGTCTTTATCTTCTAATTCCAACATCTGTATTATCTCCAAGTCTATTTTATTGACTCTCCCTACACCCACCCCACCCTGATTCTAGGTCACAATTTCTTGCTTATTTGAATATCTAGTAATTTCTTAAATTGTATGATAGATATTTTTAAATGATACACACTAGAGAGTCTGGATTATGTTATCTACTTTTAAACAGAGTTTACCTTTTTTTAGTAGCAGGCAGTTACATTGCTGATAAATCCTTTTGATCCTATCAAGTTTGGTTTTATTTGTTATTAGGATAAAACTATTTGAATTTTGATATTGATTCTGTGTCATGGTCCTTGCCCTAGGACGTGATCCTTCTTATTTAAGTGTGATCGTTTTGAGGTCTCAAATAAATATCTGAGGTGATCAGCAATGTTTCTCCACCCTGGCCTGGCCAGAGATCTAATGTCTTCCAGTTGTACATGCCTACCTACCCTCAAAGATCTCTGTTACCTCTCAGCTTCTCCACATTTGTTTCTACTTCGTCTCAAAAAATCTCATCATTCATTGTCCCAGTTAGAGAATCCAGGTGAATATGGTACTCACCTGTGTTTCCCTTCTCTCAATGATCACAGCCCTTTATTGCCCATTTCTCAATGCCTGAAAACAACTGTCTTATAACTATAGTCTAGGTTGTTTATAGAAGAAGGGCAAGTGTAGTACCTTTGATTCTCACAAGCAGAAGTCCTCCCCCATAGTCTTAATTTTTATCACCTTATTGAATTTGATTCAGTCATGATTGTTACAGAAGGGAAAATAATATGTTTA